>NC_000006.12:94417035-94567973 GCF_000001405.40 Homo sapiens
ATTAGTATCTGCTGTGACCTGGATCTCCAGTAAATACTGATAAGTTTGCAACAGAAATAAGAAAAGCAGTTAGAGTCCTAAGGAAAATTAGTCTATGTGTACATTCAAGTCCTGTATGTCACAAAAAACATCCCAATGCTATATGTTGAAGAAAACATGTACAGTTTTACAAATGACAAAGAATTGAAAACAGGAAAAGATGACCATGGAGTATCATAAACTAAAGTGGTCTTTGACTGTGTATTGATGAAATTATGGGATACAACTTGAAATACATATTAGAGCATTTCTGATGAGGAAATTAACAAAGAGACACAGGACTGAAGATGGCTTGATTCATATGGAGGACATGAATAAAGAAAGTTAGTAAAATTAAGGTGGTACTCTGGAATGCCCTAATCTTATATGAAAAAAATCAAATGCTTTTTTTCCCCCCCAGAGGAATAATAAAACCTCAAAGTGAATTTCCTATAAAAGATTATGTGAAAATCTTTTGGAAACATCAGTCCATTAGGAAAGTGCAAGATCAGCAATAACATGCAAGAAGCAAAGCAGTTGGGAGCAAAGTAGACAGAGTAGAAGGCTATGAAGAAGTTTGTGTGACATATGGGAAGAGTGACTGAAAAATCAAAAGAAATGGTAGAATTTTATGAAGGATAAACTTTATGAAGAAAAAAAAATTAACCCCAATATTTAGAGATTCGGGGACCAAGAAGGTTCTAGTACTAGTGATAAATAAAAATATCCTGGCTAGAAAGACTATTCCACCATAAGCAAGATAAATTTTCTTTTAGACAGTTTGATTTGTTAGAGATGACAAATAAATAAATATAGCTGTCATCTATAGATAGGAGAATTTAAAGGTTTTAGAGATCATATTGACACAGAGGAGACTGAAGGGAAATGATAAGCTTTCCAAAGCAGCAAGTAAAGAAAAAGAACAGATGTTCAAGGTATGAACTAGTGAAGGACAGAAACTGAATGATCAGAGGAGAAACCTTGAAGTACACTCCAGTTAATAACAAGGGAACAAATATTTCAACAATGAAAGGGTAATTTACCAGTACTAACTAAACAGAATCAGAAGAGGAAAATAATTGAATCAAGATTTCAATGTATCAATGGCTAAGAGATCAAGCTGTAATGGCAAATAATCCAGACTCAAACATTTTTAACTATGTACTTATGGACAAATGATTTAACTTATTTGTCCTTCATTTCCTTTATCAAACATCACCTATAGAATAAGGATAATATTATTATCTCACTCATAGTGTCAATATGAGTATTAAATGAGCTAACCCATGCAACGTAAATAACAAGATTCTTCATAACAGTAATCGTGAAATAACACGTCTCTTTCTATGCACATGTGGGTGTTTTAAAATTACATATAAAGGTTGTATGTAATTAATACTACAAAATTTATATGTTTATGTATGCATTACGTGTATGTATTTGATTATAATATACATACATTTTATGCATATATTATAATTATGTGTATATAGTTTATATTCTTGAGTTTGTGTGTGTGTGAAGCTGATGCAGATGAAAATATTATAATCCCAATTAAGTATTACTCTTCCCCAAAAAGTGGAATAGACATTTTAAAATACACATATATAATCATATCCAAAGTTTCAAAATTATAACTTGTCAAATTTTAGTTTTGATATACTTGCTGCTGGCAAGAAGTGGTGTTAGGGAATAATGACTATATTTGCTTTCGCAAAAACTTGTGAATCAGGCATAGCTTCCTTAAGCTCAGTTGTTTCTCAAAGAGAGAGAATTCCCAGATCAAAATGATGTTTTATTACAGGTATACATTGTGGAATGATCAAAGCAGGCAGGTTCCTATATCTATCACCCCATATATTTATCATTATTTTGTGATGAAAACATTTAAAATCATCATTTTGTGATGAAAACATTTAAAATCATTATTTTGTGATGAAAACATTTAAAATCCTGTGCAATGGAACGCAGAACTGATTCGTCCTAACTGAAACGTTGTACACGTTGGCCAATGTCTCTCCTTTTTCCATCCGCCCTCCACTTCCCAGCCTCTTGTAATTAGCATTCTACTTTACTTCTATGAATTTGAGTTTTTTAGATTTCACATATGAGATTATACAGTATTTGTCTCTCTGTGCCTGGCTTATTTCACTTACCATAATGTCCTCCAGGTTCATCTTTGCCGTTGCAAATGATAGAATTTCCTGGATTTTTAAGGCCTGAATAGTATTCTATTATGTATATATATCACCTTTAAAAATATAGTCATCTTTTGATGGACATTTATGTTGTTTCCATATCTTGGCTATTGTGAATAGTGCTGCAATGAACATGGGAGTGCAGATATCTCTTTGACATACTGACGTCAGTTCTTTCTCAGTATATGCCAAGAAGTAAGACTGCTGGATCATATGGTAATTCTGTTTTTAGTTTTTTGGGAGAAACCATTCTGTTTTCAAAAATGACAGTACTAACTTACAATACAACCAATAGTGTATAAGGATTCCCTTTTCTCCACATCCTCTATAACACTTATAATCTTTTCTTTTCCTTTTTAAATAATAGGCAATCTTACGGGTACAAGGTGATGTCTCACGATGGTATTAATTTGAGTATTTCTGATGATTACAGGTGTTGAACATTTTTTCTTGTATCTCTTGGCCATTTGTATGTCTTTCTTGAGAAATCTTTATTCAAATCCTTTACCCATTTTTAAATAGGGTTATTTGTTTTCTTGTTCTTGAGTAGTTTAAGTCCCTTGCATATTTTGAATAGTAAGCCCTTATTCAGTGTATGATTTGCCATTATTTTCTCCAAATCTGTGGATTCCCTCTTCGGTCTATTAATTATGTCCTTTTCTGTGTGGAAGCTGTTTCATTTGAAACAATACTATTTGTCTATAATTGCTTCATTGCCTGCACTATTGGTGTCATATCTAGGAAATTACTGCCCAAGCCAATGTCATGGAGCTTTTCCCTTATGTTTCACACTAGCCGTTTTATAGCTGCAGGTCTTAAGTTTAAGCCTTTAATCCAATTTGTGTTGATTCTTTTATAAGGGGCAAGTTAAGGGTCAATCTTTGTTCTTCTATATGTACATTTCTAGTTTTCCCAGCCCTATTTACTGAAAAGATCGTCCTTTCATCATTTCGTGTTCTTAGCACCTTTGTTGAAAATCAATTAGCCATAGAAGACATGTGCATTTATTTCTGGGCTCTCTATCTTATTTACTTCTATGAATCAATAGATTCATAGTCAATATTTCTGTTTATTTATTTATTTTATTATACTTTAAGTTCTAGGGTACATGTACATGTATTATACTTTAGGTTCTAGGGTACATGTACACAATGTGCAGGTTTGTTACAACATGTGCCATGTTGGTTTGCTGCACCCATCAACTCATCATTTGCATTAGGTACATGGATGAAGCTGGAAACCATCATTCTCAGCAAACTATCAGAAGGACAGAAAACCCAACACTGCATTTTCTCACTCATAGGTGGGAATTGAACAATGAGAACATTTGGACAGAGGGCGGGGAACATCACACACCAGGGCCTGTTTGGGGTGAGGGGCTGGGGGAGGGATGGTATTAACAGAAATACCTAATATTTCTGTTTATATTCCAGTATCATGCTATTTTGATTACTATAGATTTGTAATAAATTTTAAAATCTTGTAGTGTGATACCTTCAGCTTTATTCTTTTTGGTAAAGATTGCTTTAGCTATTCAGGATGTTTTGCAGTTCCACTTGAATTTTAGATTTTTTTTTTATTTCTGTGCATAATGACAAAGTTAAGATAGCAATTACATTGATTCTGTTGATCGCTTTGGGTAGTATGGGCATTTTTTAAATATTAATTTTTTCAATTCATAAACTGATATGTCCTTTCCATTTATTTGTGTGATCTTTAATAGTCTCATCAATGTTTTATAATTTTTGTATAAAAATCTTTTACCTCCCTGGTTAAATTTATTCCCTAGTAATTTATTTGATGACATTGTTGTAAATAAGACTTTAATTAATTTCTTTTTCAGATAGCTTATTGTTAGTCTATAGAAATGCCACTAATTTTTGTATGTTGAGTTTGTATCCTACATTTTTACTAAATTCATTTATGGATTTCAACAGTTTTTTTTTTTTTGGTGGATTCTTTAGTATTTCCTTATATAAGATTATGCCATCAGCAAGCAGGCAGTTTCATTTCTTCCTTTCCTATTTTGATGTCTTTTATTCTCTTTTCTTGCCATACTGAAGTACTAAACTATAGGACTAGGACTTCCAGTACTACATTGAACCTGAGTGGTATGAATGGGCATTCTTTTTTTTTTTTTTTTTTTTTTTTGAGACGGAGTCTCGCTGTGTCTCCCAGGTTGGAGTGCAGTGGCGCGATCTCGGCTCACTGCAAGCTCCGCCTCCCAGGTTCATGCCATTCTCCTGCCTCAGCCTCCCAAGTAGCTGGGACTCAGGCGCCCGCCAACACGCCCGGCTAATTTTTTGTATTTTTAGTAGAAACAGGGTTTCACCGTGTTAGCCAAGATGGTCTCGATCTCCTGACCTCGTGATCCGTGAATGGGCATTCTTATATTGCTCCTGATCTTAAAGAAAATGCCTTCAATTGTTTTTTTAACCATTGTGTATGATACAGCTGTGGGCTAGTCATTTATAGCCTTTATTGTATTGAGGGATATTCCTTCTATACCTAACTTGTTGAGTTGTTATTATAAAATGATATTCAATTTTGTCAAATGCTTTTTCTGCATCTATTGAGATGGTCATTGTTTTTGTCCTTTGTCAATAAATATGGTGAATCACATTAAATAATTTGCATATTTTGAAACTACTTTGCACCTCAGGGATAATTCTCACTTGGTCATGATGAATGATCCTTTTGATATATGGCTTAATGATTTGCTAGTATTGTGTTGAGAATAACATATGATATATCTTGGAGAATGTTCTGTTTACATTTGGAAAGAATGTATATTCTGTTGCTGTTGGGCAAAATGTTACATATATGTTTGTAAGATTCATTTGGTCTAATGTGTATTTCAAGTCTAATGTTTATTGATTTTCTGTCTAGATCATCTGTGTATGGCTGAAAGTGGGGTATTGAAAGCCCTTGTAATTATTATATTGCCGTCTGTCTCCCTTCAGGTGTCTTATTGTTTTCTTTAAATATTTCAGTGCTCTTATGTTGGGTACATATATATTTATAATTGTTTTATCCTCTAGATGAATTGACACCTTTATCACTATATAATGACCTTCTTTGTCTCTTTTTACAGTTTTTGATTTCAAGTCTATTTTGTTTGAAATAAGTGTAGCTACCCCTGGTGTTTTTTAATTTCCATTTGCATGGAATATATTTTCCTATCCCTTTACTTTCAGTCTCTCAGAGTCTGTTAAGGTGAAGTGAGTCTTTTTTAGACAGCCTAGAGGTGAGTTATTTTTTATCCATTCAATTACTGCACATTTTTTATTAGAATATTTAATCCATTTACACTTAAAGTAATTATTGATAGATAAGGACTTACTAGTGCCATTTTGTTACTTATTTTCGGGTTCTTTAGCAGACTTTTTGTTTCTTTCTTCCCCTATTGCTTTTCTTTGGTATCTGTGCGTATAATTTGATGGCTTTCTGTAAGTGGTATGCTTTGGCTTTTTTTCTTTTTGACTGTTCTGTATTTATTATAGAATTTTGCTTTGTGGTTACCCTTAAGCTAACATAAAACTTCTTATACTAACAGCTGACTATTTTAAGCTAAAAATAATGTAACTTTGATTGCATATACACATTCCACATTTTTTCTCCTGCTCCTTCCATGTTTTATATTTTTGATGTTGCAATTACATTTTAAAATAATTAGCATTCCTTAACAAATCATTATGGATTTAGTTGTTTGTAATTGTTTTGTCTGTTATCCTTCATACTAGAGATATAAATAACCTACCCAACACCATTACAGTATTAGAGTGTTTGGATTTACAGTGTACTTACCTCTACCAGTGATTTTTATACTTTCATATGTTTTCATATTACTAATTAGCATCATTTCCTTTAGCTTAAACAGCTTAAACAACTCACCTTAACATATCTTGTAAGGAATGTACAGTGGTGATTAACTCAATTGGTTTTTGTTAGTCTGAAAAACTCTTTATCATCCTTCAATTTTGTTTTAAATGTTTAAATTTTTAATTTTTATGGGTGCATAGTAGGGTTATACCTTCATGGAGTACATGAGATATTTTGATACTGGCATACATACTCCAGGGCAAATGGAGTATCTATAACCTCCAGCAATCATAATTTCTTCATATAATGAACCTACCTATTATATGCCCTCAATTATTATAAAATGTACAACAAATCATTACCAATAGTAGTCACTCTTTTCTGTTACCAAATACTAGATTTTAATTATTCTAAATATTTTCGTACCCATTAACTATCACCATTTGCCATCTTTCCCATCCCTCCCAGCAATTTGTTGAAGAGACCGTCCTTTCCCCATTGTATGTTCATGATGCCGTTGTTAAAAATGCATCCACTGTAGATGCGTTGATTTATTACTGGGTTCCTTATTCTGTTCCACAGATCCATGTGTTTGTTTTTATGCCAATACCATGCTGTTTTGGTTACTACAGCTCTGCAGTATAATTTGAAGTCAGGTAAAGTGATTCCTCTTGTTTTGTTCTTTTTGCTCAGGATGGCTATCACTATTCTGGATTTTTTGTGGTTCCATATACATTTTAGAATTTTTTTTCTACTTTTGGGAAGAATGTCATTGGTATTTTGATGGGGATGGAACTGAATCTGTAGATTGCTTTGGGTAGTATGGGCATTTTAACAATATTGATTTTTCTAATCTATGAACATAAAGTATCTTTCCTTTTGTGTGTGTGTGCTCTTTAATTTCTGGTATCAATGTTTTATAGTTTTCATTGTAGACATCTCTCACTACTCTGCTTCAGTATAGTCCTAGGTGTCTTACCAGATTGGTCACTGTTGACATATAAAAATGCTACCGATTTTTGTATGTTTGTTTTGTATTCTGCAACTTTACTGAATTTGTTTACCAGATCTGACAGTTTTTTTTTATTTCTAGTGTTATTCTATTGTGGTCAGAGAAGATACTTGATATGATTTCACTTCTTTACTTCTTTGGATTTTTAAAACATTTGCTTTGTGGCCTGACATGCAGGTCTATCCTTGAGAATGATCCATGTGCTGAGGAGAAGAATGTGTATTCTGCAGCCATTAGATTAAATGTTCTGTAAATATCAATTAGGTACATTTGGTCTATAGTGCAGACTAAGTCTGATGTTTATTGATTTTCTATCGGAATGATCTGTCCATTGATGAAAGTGAAGTTTTGAAGTCTCCAACTATTATTGTATTGGAGTTTATTTCTCTGCGTTTCTAATGTTTGCTGTATAAATTTGAGTATGCCAATATTGGGTGCATATATATTACAATTGTTACATTCTTTTGTTGAATTGATCCCTTTATCATTATCTAATGAACTTCTTTATCTCTTTTCATAGTTTTTGTCTTAAATTTTTTTTTTATTTGACGTAAGTATAGCTATGCCCCCTCTCTTCTGGTTTCCATTTGCATGGAATATTTTTTCATCTCTTTATTTTCAGGCTATATGTGTCTTTACAGTTGAAGTGTATTTCTTTTTTAGGCAACAGATCATTGTGCCTTTAAAAAAATCCATTCATTCACTCTATAACTTTTGATTGGAGAGCTTAGTTTATTTACATTCAATGTTAGTATTAATGAGTAAGGACTTACTCCTGCCATGTGTTATTTGTTTTATGGTTGGTTTATGACCTCCCCTTCCTTCCTTCCTTCCTTCCTTCCTTCCTTCCTTCCTCCTTCCATTTTCCTTTTGATTAAAGTAATTTTCTCTGGTGATACATTTTAATTTCTTGCCTTATATTTTTGTGTATCTCTTTTAGGTTTTTTTTTAATTTAATGTTACTATGAGGTTTGCAAGGAACATCTTATAACCTATCATTTTAAACTCATGACAACTTAACCCTCATTACATAAACAAATAAATAATCTAACAAACGAGTAAAAAGAAAACTGATAAAAAGAAAACTTACACTTTAACTTCATCCCCCATGCTTTTCAACTTTTTGGTGTTTCTATTTATATCTTATTATATATACTATGTCTTGAAGTTGTTGTAGTTATTATTTTTGATAAGTTCATCTGATATTCCCCTTTCTAAAGATATGAGCGCTTTATACACCACAATTACAAGGTTACAATATTGTGTATTTATCTGTGTTCTCACTGTTACCAGCAAATTTTGTACCTTCAGAATTGCTTGTTAACTTTCCTTTCTTTCAGATGAAAGAACTCCCTTTACCATTTCTTGCAGGACAGGTCGGTTGTTGAGGAAATCCTTTGGTTTTTGTTTGTCTGGGAAAGTCTTTATTTCTCCTTCATGTTTGAAGGGTATTCTTTTCTGGATATACTATTCTAAGATAAAATTTTTCTTTCTTTTTTTTTTTTCTTTTAGCATTTTATATATACCATGACACTCTCTCCTGGTCTATAAGTTTTCCCTTTAAGGTCAATAACTCTTAGATTTGCCTTTTTAAAGCTGTTTTCTAGATCTTGTAGGTGTGCTTCCTTACAATTTATTGTTTTTTATTTTGGCTACTGTGACTGTATATTTTCAAATAGCCTAACTTCAAGCTCACTAATTCTTTCCTCTGACTGATTAATTCTGTTGTTGAGAGATTCCGATATATTCTTCAGTTTGTCAGTTAAACTTTTTAGCTCCAGAATTTCTACTTGATTGTTTTTAACTGTTTCTATTTCTTTCTTACACTTATCTGCTAGAATTCTGAATGTTTACACTGTGTTATCATAGATTTCATTGAGTTTCCTCAAAAGAGCTATTTTGAATTCTCTGTCTGAAGGTCAAACATCTGGTTACTCCACAACTGGTCACTGGCCCCTTATTTAGTTTATTTGGTGAGGTCATGTTTTCCTGGGTAGTCTTGATGCTTATGGATGTTCAACAACATCTGGTCATTAAAGACCAAGTTGTTTATTCTAATCTTTATAGTCTTGGTTTGTTTGTACCCATCCTCCTTGAGAAGGTTTCCAAGCATTCACATGGAATTGAGTGTCATTATCTAAATCTTTGTTCACTGCATCTGTATGTGCATTAGGAAGCACCTCAAGCTCAGTAGTGCTCCAAATCTTGCATAGCCATAGAGGTACCACCTTAGTGGTCTTGGGTAAGATCCATGAGAATTTCCTTGATTGCCAGGTGGAGTCTTTTATTCTCTTTCCTAACTTCCCCCGCAAGCAAATGGAGCCTCTCTCTCCATGCTGTGCTACTTGGAGTTGGGGAGTGGTGATGCAAGTACTCTTGTAACTATCACCATTGGGACTTTACTGGTTCACATCTAAGGCCAGCACAATACTGGGTCTCACCCAAGGGCTGTAGCAGCTATTTCCTTGCTACCATTGATGTTTATTCAAGGTACAAGACTCTTTTGTCAGAAGGTGGAGAATTTTGCCAGAACTGGGTCCTTTCCTTCAGAAGAGTGGGTTCCTTTCTGGCCCAAGGTGGGTCCAGAAATGTCATATGGGAGCTATGGTCTGAAATGAGGGGTCTAGGACTCTTCTTGGTGCTTTGTTTTACTGTGGCTGAGCTAGTATCCAAGTTGCAAGACAATATCTTCTTTATTCTTCTCTCTCCTTCTCAAGTTGCAAGCTGCACTGCCTGGTTTTGGGGAAGGGGTTATGCCAGCACCTCATTTGCCATTCTAGCTAGCGTCTCACTTGGTCACATGAGCCCCAAGTCCATTGGCTCTGATCCTAACACAGCACAAGAACTTGTCCAGAAATTGCAGTTCTGTCTTTCAAATTTATTTAGGTCCCAGAACACTTTAGCCTATATTGGTGGTACCAGCCAGAACTCATGTTCCAACTGCTGGGACAAACAATTCCCCTTTGGCTAAGGCTAATCTAAATATTTCCTCCATGAGAATGAGTCAAATTCTGCCCCATTTTGCTTTCTACTCTGACAGAACAGCACTAAATTTCAACTCAAAGTCTGACAATCACTTTGTTTTCCCTTCCCCAAGCACACAGATTCTCTCTGTGCAACATGGCTGCTGCTGGGGCATGGAGAAGAAATAATGTAGGCAATTCAAGACTGCCTTTCCTATTTTCTTCAGTACCTCTTTATATGATGTGAAACCAGGTACAGTATGATCACTCACCTGATTTTTGGTTCTTGTAGAGGTCCTTTTTTGTGTAGATAGCTGTTCGATTTGTTTTTCATGCAAAGTGGGGTGATGGTGGCAATCACTGGAGTGTTCTATTTAACCAACTTCTTCTGCCTACTTCCCCTATCACCCTGTAAGTTTTAAAAGACAGGATTGCAGGACTGAAAGACATGATTAGTATTTATAGTGTTCTTGGTTAACATATTTTTTCCTTTTAGTATTTTGAGTTTATCTTCCAGCTCCCTCCTGCCCTGCAAGATTTCTGCTGAGATATCTGCTGATAATCTTATGGAGGTTCTTTTATGTAACAATTTGCTTTTCCTTTGCTATTTTCTAAGTTCTCTTCATATTTTGACAATTTGATTCTGATGTGTCTCAGTATGGGTCTCTTTGGAGTCATATCATTTGATAATATTTGCGCTTCATAGATCTGAATTTCTATATTTTTCTTCAGGCTTGGGAATTTTTCTGTTTTTTTTTTTTGTATACATTTTCTATTTATCTCTTTCTTCTCCTTCTGGTACACAGATAATACAGCTGTTGTTATGTTTGATGGTGTTCTGTAAGTCTCTTAAACTATCCTCACTCTTTTTCATTCCTTCTTTTTGTTTCTCAGATTGTATGCTTTTTTTTTTTCTTTTCCTTTGAGACAGAGTCTCTCTCTGTTGCCCAGGCTGGAGTGCAATGGCGTGATCTCAGCTCACTGCAACCTCTGCCACCCGGGTTCAAGTGATACTCCTGCCTCAGCCTCCCCAGGAGCTGGGATTACAGGCTAAATTTTGTATTTTTAGTAGAGACGGGGTTTCATCATTCAAGACTGGCCAGGTTGGTCTTGAACTCCTGACCTCGTGATCTACCCACCTCGGCCTCCCAAAGTGCTGGGCCTGTATGCTTTTTGTTGACCTGTCTTTGAGTTTACTGATAATTTCTTCGGCCTGATCTAGTCTAATTTTAACCACCCCAATTGATATTTTCAGCTCACTTAAAGTATTATTTATCTCTATGACTTCTACTTTGTGCTTTTTTATACAGTTGTTCCTCAGTATCCACAAGGGATTGGTTCAAGTACAGCTGACAGATACCAAAATCCACAGATGCCCATGTCTCTTCTATAAAATGGTTTAATATTTGCATATAACCAACACACATCTTTCAGTATATGCTAAATCATCTTTAGATTATTTATAATACCTAAGAGAATGCAAATACTATTAAATATTTATTACACTGTATTTTTTTCACTGTTGTAATGTTATGTTCTATTGTTTTGCCTTTTAAAAATATTTTTAATCCCTATTTGGTTGAATTCACAGATGCAGAACTCATGAATATGGAGGCCAACTGTAGTTTCTATCCTTTTGAAATTGTTTGTTTTTGCAATGCTTTCCTGATTTCAGTGAGCATCTTTTTGACCAGTATTTTGAATTCCCTCTTGAGTAGATCACACGTCTCCACTTCACTCAGGTCACTTTCTGGAGCCTTATCTTCTCTTTTTATTTGGAATATAGTTCACAGTTTCTTTATTTTACTTGACTCTGTGTGTTGATTTATTCACATAAAGTAAGGCAACTATCTCCCTCAGTCTTGTCAGACTGGCCTCACGTAGGAGAAGAATCTCACCAATCCATTCAGACTGAGATTTTAAGGCACCTCTCAAATCTTTCTGTTTAACCAGACTACTATTTCTGTTTTTGTTGGCTCCCTGGAGTACATGATATGCCACGTCCTGTCAGTACCTCAAGACGAGTAAGGTAGAAGTCATATTCTGTAGACGTAGCTAGAAAGGTTGGAGTATTTGATGTGTGTCCCAGTTTCTTCTATCTTCACAATCAAGCTGAACATAGGAATGTATGTCCCACAGTCTCTGCACTAAGCCATGGAGAGAATCTGCGGCAAATACTTGTACTCATACTTAGGCTATAACCTCTGATCCTGAGAAGATAGCTGTTGGACGTGGGTTGCTTATATGTTCCATTATTTTTCTGTAAACTGTGGCCTCCTCTCAGGAATACAAAGCCCCATCAACTCTCAGAGCTACATGGTTAAGAAGACACTCCCTTGGGTAGGAGCTATAAAAGTTGTGACACACATTGCATGGCCAAACTCCTTGCAAGAAGAACGGGTAGACCAGGATTTGTCACTTAGTAGAACCAGAGGAAATGCTTGTGAAGTGCCAATCTCTGGCTTAGGCTGCCAAAGAGCTACTGTTAGTTTACACTGTTAGCTCTGCAATGCAAGTTCATTTAAAGCCAGGCTGCTAAGTATCCCCTGGAAGAGTGTATCATAAACCTTTCATAGGGATAAACAGGGAGCTGCTTTTTAAAAGTCCCTTCTCTGGACTACTCCTGGGGGATGAAGCCCCTAAAAGTACGCGTGTGCCATTAGAGAACCACTGTGTTTTTTCCTGTGGTTTAGAAAGACTCATGTATGTCAAACCCACTTCATTCACAGAGGTGATGAATTAATAGCCTTAGAGTTAGACAGATCTTAGAGGTAAGGTGGTATATGTGAGGTCCAAGTCCTCTTCTCCACAGGGAGAAGGTAGAGGTTAGAGATTTCTTTCTCAATTTTATGGTGCACTGACTGGACTGGGATTTATACTGAACTGTGCCTTAGCTTTTTCTACCCTTCGATGTTTGCTTAGTTGCCCAGTGGGTTGGAGTCTCTCAACTGGTCTCTGACTTTGTCTCAGAGAAAATAAATCTGTGAATACATGTTTATTGGGTGCGTCCCTGGGTAGAGTGAGACTCAAGAGGTTTCCATGCTGCTATGTTGCTGATGTCACCTCCTTTAATCTTAAATATTGTCTGGTTTGTTAAGTGCATCTCTTTTGCTGCCTGGTTACATAGTTTGTTTATTTGTTTGTGTCTTTTATAAAGTAGCCTATAAATG
This sequence comes from Homo sapiens, assembly GCF_000001405.40. Lineage (NCBI taxonomy): Eukaryota > Metazoa > Chordata > Mammalia > Primates > Hominidae > Homo > Homo sapiens. Next base: position 94,430,219 of record NC_000006.12, read on the forward strand.
TATTTGCAAGTTATTCATGAGGGGTGGGTCAGAAGACAAATGTTACTGTCTGGGATACTTTAAGATATTTGAAAACAGGGATTCTCTCTTTCATTGTTTTTAATGCTTTTTAAATCTAGAAAAAATGTGCTTGATGCAATCAGTAAATGTTTATTAAATAAATGAATTAATATCTCCATGCTTCATAAAAAGAAGCCAATCAGCAAAAACACAAATCACTCACATAAACACAACTATAATTAGTTTAAACAAGTAATCAGGTCGATATTTCTATATTCTTGGCAAAACACTAGGCCACATTCTTAAGGCCAACTCTCTGAAAATTATTCAATATGCAACATTTTTGCTTAATGTAATTTTTTTCAGATTTCTGTCTTTGATGTTGAAGATTAATTTCTCCTATGGGATGACTCCTCTCCCAAAATGCCATCTCCCTACAGGACCAGAAACAAACAAAGAAACAAGCAAAAATCCCACACTTCAGAAATACTCTTGCTTTTTCTCTAGCAAGTTTCATTATTCTTTGTTCGTTAGACTTAACTAGTTATAATTTAACAATTTATTACATTAAAAGTAGTCAAATGTCATCATATTTTAATTGTATTCATACATCGCAGGATGTGACTGCTTTAAAAAAACATGTAGTATTTTCATGTGGGCAGGTAAATATTACCTCCTTCACTGACTGAGAACTTAAGAGGAGATATTTTGTCTGTCTTGCAATAATTTTCCCCAAAGCAAGTGATTTCTGCTTAGAATTCAATAAATATTTCTAACCAATTAAATGATTTTAAAAATTTCGGATAGAAAATTAAAACTAAATAACATCTGTAGTACTTATGGCTACTTGAAGTTTGTTACTGTCATGACTTTACCTGTGCTGATTTTAATGAGACTGCTAGCAAAGAAAAAGGACTCAGTTCTCATTTGTGTTCTGTGTCCGTAAATAGTTTACCAGTAATGCCGAGAGATACCTCACGGGTGATCTGATTTAAATTCATATAAATAACTTAAAAGGAAAACTCCTATGTTGCCTTGCCCTTAGCTAATATTGTTATGCTAATGCCAAATATGAGTTATACATTCAGAAGCTTAAATGGCCAACAGTAGCTGTGTGGTTTTTTTCCTGAATTTTTTTTTGCCAAATTTTAAAACTAGGCAAGATAACTTTCCTATGTATATTTTTATCTTTAGCTAATGTACTCAATATCAACAAAAAGAAACACAGATGTTTAAAAAGATTCAGAAAAGCAGTTGAATAAAACTTTCATAGTTCTACACATGGCATGAAATAAGTGGATTTGAAAATTAAATTTAGAGGATGAAGGCAATCATTTGAACACGATTTATGGTCCATTAAGATCTTTAATATATCTTGTTTTAAGTACATTTAATTTTACTTATAATAAAGCAGAAAACAATTTTCTTGAAAGGAATATGTGTTTTTAATAAACCTAACATTTGGTTTTTGGATTGAAATTAATCTCATATGAGACTGTAAGTTAAGAAAGTAACAACCCCAGTACAATGCCATTTTGGTTACTGTAGCCTTGTAGTATAGTTTGAAATCAGGTAGCATGATGACTCCAGCTTTGATCTTTTGGCTTAGGATTGTATTGGCTATATGGGTTCTTTTTTGGTTCCTTATGAAATTTAAAGTAGTTTTCTCTAACTTTGTGACAAAAGTCAATGGTAGCTTGATGGAGATAGCATTGAATCTATAAATTACTTTGGGCAGAATGTCCATTTTCACAATATGGATTCTTCCTATCCATGAGCATGGGATGTTTTTCCATTTGTATGTATCCTCCAATGAAACAGAACAGAGGCCTCAGAAATAATGCCACACATCTACAACCATCCGATCTTTGACAAACCTAACAAAAACAAGCAATGGGGAAAGGATTCCCTATTTAATAAATGGTATTAGGAAAACTGGCTAGCCATATGCTGAAAACTGAGACTGGACCCCTTTCTTACACTTTATACAAAAATTAACTCAAGATGGATTAAAGACTTAAACATAAGACATAAAACATAAGAACCCTAGAAGAAAACCTAGGCCATACCATTCAGGACATAGGCATGGGCAAAGACTTCATGACTAAAACACCAAAAGCAATTGCAACAAAAGCCAAAATTGACAAAAGGGATCTAATTAAACTAAAGAGCTTTGCACAGCAAAAGAAGCTATCATCAGAGTGAACAGGCAACCTACAGAATGGGAGAAAATTTTTGCAGTTTATCCATCTGGAAAAGGTCTAATGTCCAGAATCTACAAGGAACTTAAGCAAATTTACAAGAAAAGAACAAACAACCCTATTAAAAAGTGGGCAAAGAATATGAACAGATACTTCTCAAAAGAAGATATTTATGCAGCCAACAAACATACGAAAAAGAGCTCATCATCGCTGGTCATTAAAGAAATACAAATCAAAACAACAATGAGATATCATCTCATGACAGAATGGCGATCGTTAAAAAGTCAAGAAACAACAGATGCTGGAGAGGATGTGGAGAAATAGAAATACTTTTACACTGTTGGTGAGAGTGTAAATTAGTTCAACCATTGTGGAAGACAATGTGGTGATTCCTCAAGGATCTAGAACCAGAAATACAATTTGACCATCAATCCCATTACTGGGTATATACACAAAGCATTATAAATCATTCTACTATAAAGACACACGCACAGGTATGTTTATTGCAGCACTGTTCAAAATAGCAAAGGCTTAGAACCAACCCAAATGCCCATTGATAGACTGGATAAAGAAAATGTGGCACACATACAACATGCAATACTATGCATCCATGAAAAAGGATGAGTTCATGTCCTTTGCAGGAACATGGATGAAGCTGGAAACCATCATTCTCAACAAACTAACACAGGAACAGAAAACCAGACATCACACGTTCTCACTCATAAGTGGGAGTTGGACAATGGGAACACATGGACACAGGGAGGGGAACATCACACACTGGGGCCTGTTGGCAGGCAGGGGACTAGGGGAGGGGTAGCATTAGGAGAAATAACTAATATAGATGACAGGTTGAGGGGCGGAGCAAGCCACCATGGCACATGTATACCTATGGAACAATTCTACATGTTCTGCACATGTATCCCGGAACTTAAAGTATAATTTTAAAAAAATTGACAAAAAAAATAAAAACCCCATTATATTTATAGCAAATGTCTAACATTTTGTATTTTTTCCAAATTGTACTGACATTTATATATTTCTTATTTGTTTGTTATCAATATGATACATAAAAGGATATAATGAATTATTTCAAAATTAACATTTAACTTATAACAATTTAGGTTAGAGGCAAAGCCCCAATTTATTTTATATGTAAGGCATTATAAGGAACTTATATAAATGTACTGCTTTATTAATTAGTATTTCTGCTTAATGTTAGTATCATTTATTCAATTTGTTTTACATCATATTAATTTACTATCATTTGACATGAATCTTTGATAATAGCTGGAACATGAACAAAGACGTAATATTGTGACTTCTGATAATGCAATTTCAATAAAAACTGTTAATGAAACCTATCAACCATTTATATTGTTTTTAAAAAGTCAGTGGTAATTATGCATAATTATACACTTTGTTTTCATCAAATTCATGTACAAATGTGCAAGTCCTTATACACTTTAACAGAACTGCATAGTAACCTAATTTCCAGATACTAACCATAGTCTGCTGTGTGAAGAACACACTTAAACTTAGATTTTATAATGGGACCTAAGTACCGCACAACACCATGGAATTTTAGTGCCATGAAAAAGAGATTCTTCCTCTTAAATTTTTTGTTCATAAATGGTCATGAGTAAATGTAGAAATTGAACCTAATTACATATTTTAGAAATGGTTTTATGTCAAAACATATTTTTTATTGGTTTACTTATTGACTGCTTTTTTGGATGACTAATATCAATAACAGAAGTGACATACCTGTAATCCTAGCACTTTGGGAGGATGAGGTGAGTGGATTGCTTGAGCCAAGGAGTTTGAGACCAGCCTGGGCAACATGGCAAAACCCTGTCTCTACAAAATACACAAAAATTAGTTGGTCGTGATGGCATGCGTCTGTGGCCCCAGCTACTCAGGAGGCTGAGATGGGAGGATGACTTGAGCCTTGGAGTTTGAGGTTGTTGTGAGAGACATGATCACTCATGTTTGTTTTTATTACACAAAAATATAATGTTGCACTTTGAAACAAATAATTATAAAATCAGGTGATCTTTTTTTATTAAAGTACTAAGATTAAAAAAATAAGTCAAAGTCAAATTAATATAACTGTTAAAATCATTCAGAATTTTGAGACGAGAAGTAGCTGTGATTATATCCAAAAAGCTAAAATATATACACACCAAAAAGCCTAGATTTTACTACTATGCAATGTAGCCAGGTAACAAAATTGCGCTGTACTTCTTGAATTCATATATATACACAGACACACACACACATTTGAATTCATATATATGAATATATATATTTATATATGTGTGTGTATGCATGTCTATATACGTACACACAAAGAGTCTTGAGTATAAATTTATAGAAACAATTATAATAATAAAATGTCACTCCGTATCTATTTGTCCTTTTGATCCAAGACAAAACATATGTGAAATTTAAACAAATAATATGGTATAATATATTAAGGTAGAATATCCATTGTAATTCTCTCCGTGCTGCTACTGGTGGGCAAGGACAAATCAGAGATTTAAACCACAGATGCTATAAATAGCATGTTTTACAGAGGCAGGATCAAAATGCCTTTGGAGCTGAAGAAAGAAAGCAAGAATAATTGAAAACAGGGCTCCCTACAAACAGTTATACATAATTTGAGTATATGTGTATGTGTGTGTAAAAATCTACCTGTGACTGACATTTAATAGATGACTATTTTCTATTTCCCCAAGCTACTTGACTTTGTTAAAAAAAAGATACATTGAGGATTCACTAAGATCTGTAAAACATTCTTTATACCAGATTATAATCCATAATTATATTAGTATATTTTACACCCAAAAAACATCAATCAGAAATAGGTATTGGTAAGCTATAAATCAATCAAAGTAAAGCTTTAAAACAAAAATAAATAAGGCCTTAATGCTATTTCTTTTGATAAAGGTGACTTTCAGCAGTAAAGATTCTATGTGCTGTAGAATGCATCAACGTTACCCATTGAATCAAGTGTGGAGATAGGCAGGAAATACTATTGATTTTAAGCATTATTTGAACCAACAAACAGATTTAAAATGACCTTCAACTGTGATAACAATATCTATAATTTGAAAAGAGTTTGTAGAGGAAGAAATGTTGCAAGGTCTGGAGTAAGATAAATGGCAATTTATGGAGGTCAGTTTGCCAATTTCAGATAGAAATAGTTGATATTACTGCAAAGCGGTAACCATATCAACACAATTTCTGAAAAAGCAAAATTTGAGGATACTTTAATTTTCAGGGAATTGTTTTGCCAGTTGCTTTATAATTATTTCATCTATAAAACTAATCTTATAACTTTGCCATTTGTTGCTTTCGGTACGTTCATAGCAATCAAATAAATGTATTGACTCCATAAAAATATAACCAGAGGAATCTGTCAGGTTTGCTGAAAGGATGTCATATAATGAAACTTAAGCTTCGGGTTAGCTCATAATTTTAAAAATAGATATAATTATAATCAGTAGGTTTTAACATTTTTTACAGATTATTTTAGGCAACCAAATAGATATTTTTCAATTAAGCCTGTTGATGTCCATGAAGATTCATTATATTTTTCTTGTTTTACAAACAGATGTGATACTCAGTTTCGGTGACTGGTCCAGATTCATGTTTATTCTTAAAGACAGAAGTAGCTTAAAATAATTCAACACTTTCTTTATTCATTTGATATTCTAAATTAAAAGAGTTTCATGTGAACCAGCATGAGTAACATCAGAGGCTATTCATTTTCTTCCCCTGTTCTATAATAATTTAAAACCAGTAAATAGAAACAGGAAAAGTAAACCAGCCTAAAAGCAAAGCTCTTTTAGAATGAACCCAAAGTGCTTCTAAAATTGCACAGAGAAGAGATATTCTTTCTAACCAGCAAGTTATCCATCCAGAAAAAACATTTGTCTCTCCAACCAACTTCTATCTGGACCATTCGGGAATTTTGAATGGTCCATTATTTGTTAACATTCTTTCAGGCTCCATCCACTTAAAACTCTTCCCTTACAGTCTCAATTTGAAAACTTGCTTTCTAGGTTAACTAAATTACTATGTTGTGCCCTTGCTCAGCATTCTGCACAAACACTGTATGTTCTTGTTCTTGTTAGTCTGGTTTATAGGCAAAATATAATCTAATTAAATAAATAGCTGAATGAACTATTTTAAGTATTTCCTGCAGATTGGGTATTTCGTGAATTACTGAGAATTTCTTTGTTTGAACATTTCAAGGCTTAAAAGTTACAGTAATTTCAGTTATTGGTTTTTCCTTAAGGATTATTTGCTTAGCAGAAAAACTGGAAAACAGGTAATATTTTTAAATGCCTATACAAATATTGAATCCATTCATTTGCTTTACCAAGTTTTTACCATTTTAACCATTCATCTATTCAAAGTGAAAGAGATTAGTAAGAGCTAGAACATATGTGAAAATATCAATGTTTCCCGTTTATGTGTATCAAATCTAAGCAGAAAGAGAGAGCAGACAACAGTACTTTTAAGTAACTTTTTAACAAGGAAAGCTTGTATGTTGTCTAGCCTGATTTGCCCTATTTACTTCATCATTTTCTCTCTATCAATTTATACGCATGTATATTATTTCATCTGAACCACTGAGAGTAACATGAAGACACTGCTCTCCAACCCCCATCAAAAATACTTTAAGGTGTATTACTTGGGAACAAGGTCATTCATTTTCATAACTTCATTCAGGAAATTTCCTAATTCATTGCTATTTTTTAAGCTCCATCTTTTTTTCCCATTTTTGTCACTTGCCTAATAAATGCCCTCTATAATTTTTTGCTTTTCCCGATCAAAGTTGTACTCCAGAGTGGCTAATAATATTTGTCACATTAGCTTTATTTTATAACATTATCTCAGGCTTCCTTTGTCTTTCTTGACCTTAATATTTTTGTAGAAGATTCCACATTTTGAGTTATTCTAATATTCTTTCATGATTAGATTGAGGTTATGATTTTTTTAGCAGTCATGTAATAAAATTAACTCTAATACATATTTTGAGGCTAACTTTTTGGAATGTCCAGGTTATCTTAGGATTAATCAACTGGAATCATATAAAAGGAGAGGTAGAGTAGAAAAGACTACTCTACAGAAAGGAAGAACTACCAAAAACATATATTGTTTTTTCATATTTATTTATTAATCTATATCACGTGACAGGAACTGTAACAGATATGAGGGGTAATTGTTAAAGATGCTGATTTGCCAGTGTCAGGGATCAGCAAACTACAACCCTTTGGCCAAATCCAGCCACAGCCCTTCATTCGTGAATTGTTTTCAGCTACTTTTACACTACCACAGCAGAGAAAAGCAGTAGTGACAGAGACCATATGCCAACAAAGTCTAAAATATTTATTGTCTGGCTCTTCACAGAAAATTTTTACCAATCCCTGGTTTAATACAGCATAATTCTAGCTAATGACATTTTTAGATAAATGATTGTTGATAAACAATAGAGCAATGAAAAAAAGTGTTAATATTCAATTCTGTAGTATTTTTTTCCTGGGGTAGAGAGATTTTGGCCATGCATCTTATAAATATTTCACTATCTACGTGGTACAAAATACGTAACACTTTAAAATTCTCTACTATTCATATTCTAGTCCTTGCTTAGGAAGAATAAGGAATGTCACTTAGCTAGAAATCCTTAGTGTTTCGGAGCGTACCTCTGACAAAATTCTGTTATTCTCTTGCCTACTCCCTGCTGTAGACTGTACTTCAAAGGACTAAGCTCAGGAGGCTTCAACATTTTCTGTGTCAGCAAAGACTTTCTTTTCCTTCAAGCAATTTATTAAAGGGAGAATCAGATTGACTTTAGTGAAATATATTCTATCTTTCCCGAAGACAGAATTTTGTCCCGTATAAGAACTCTTCTGCTTATGTCTTGAGTAGAATCACATTTTCAAACTGATGTCCGGACATGCGAATAAATCCCATTACCCAGTAATAGGATTTGTTGCACACCTCCTGTGCACTCCTTCAGTAATTGAGGAGTCCTTCACAGTGGGCTGGGTTTTTTTTCTTTGGGTTTACTCTGACATCTGTCCAAATAATTTCACTCAATGAGGCATTTGTTTTATTTAAACCCACCAAGAGGGCTAGAGACTAGTGGTTGATAAAATTCCTGAATAACATCACTGTTCTCCTTGATTTCACTCAAGAAGATTCCCTGATATTAGCTTTTGTCTGGAAAAGAACCACAATTCAACCGTTTGCAAAGTAACGTGGAATGAAACCAACAACTGTGCTCTTAGATGATGTATTAGTCACTACCACTTTCAAATCCCTGTCATTCACACTGCCTCAAAAATGAGTTTAAAAATTATTAAATGATAGTGGTATATATAAAAGTAGTATGCAAAAATGGATGTTTTGATAGTCTGACAGTAGAAATGTTGTACATTGAGAAATAGCAAGAACAGACTCTAGTTATTAGAATGGAATTGTGATTTACACTAGTCATTTCACATCTTGGCCAAACTAGATCATTAAGACAAGTAAGATGTGAAACTGGATTAAACATCCAAATCATTGCCTATACCATCATTTCTATACCATCCTATTATTGCCTATACCATCCTATCATTGCTATACCATCATTTCTAGTTGCTAGCTGATGCCCTCCAGCTCTTCCCCTCAGTGGCTCTCTTCTGTGATACCAATCTAATCTTTAAATTGTAACAATACTAAGAGTTGCTAGAAATTGCTATTCTGACCTATGTTTCCTACTTACATTAACTGTAATTCTTACAACTTTATTGCAAGGTAGATAACATTGTCTTATTGTTATAGATAGAAGAATGAAATGTCTTTGACTCTCCGAAGACCAGATAGCAAGTGACAGAGTTGGGATTAAATCTCAGATCTAACACCAAAGGTCACTTATTTAATCCCAGAGCTCTACACATATCATCGATTATTATTTGGCCTTATTAATTAAATGTAGAACAAGTTCTAAAAATATTAATTGCAATTCTAACATATTGTTTTAATTGAGCTTTATTCTGCTTCAGAATCCTATTTTTCTTAATTGTGAAAATAATAAACCAAAAAAACAAAAAAAACACTTTGCAGTGACAGTGAACCTGCATTATTTATATATTGCTTTGAAACATGCTCATTACTTCACTGCTTGACACTGCCTGATACATGCCAATCTGACACAAACAAGGAGATTTCTGGATATTCAACTTTTACTTGTCAAATGATGTTAAAGAACTAACCTAAAATATACCTCCAAGTTCCATGGATTTAGTCTAGTTTACCTTTTTTAAAATAGAAACTTTATATTATGGCTCCATAGGTTAGTTGAGTTACTGGTAAATTAAATTGCTTCAATTAAATAATCCTTCCTCGGAAAGTTTCAGTTGGTTTTAAGTAAAATATCAAATATAGTATCTATAATTTCATATAGATTTATATAAAACTAAAAGGTAAGAATTACATATAAACTACATCTAACCATATTTGAATGGACTTTGCATGTTACCATGTTAAATGCATGCTAATTTTAAAGATGCGTAACAGATGATATTGCAAACCTGTCCCCATGGCTTCCTATGAGATGTCAGAACCAGTCCTGCAAACCCCAGACACCATCGCAGCCGCTTTTTGCTTCTGTTTTTGCAAAAGGAATGGAAGGTGAAAAGTAGGAGAGAAGAAAAGTAAAAGACCACTCATTTTAAAGGCAGTGAAATAGGTAGAGTAAGAGATTTTTCCTTTGTAAAAAAAAAAAAATGAGAAATATGGAGCAAGGGACATATGAGAAGTTTCCAAGAGAATCACTTGTGATATAGAATGCCTGTAAGAGGAGGAGCTATGTAATTAAAGTGCAGAATCTCCAGTGCCATGAATATTGGAGTGACATATACCCAGCAGGCGAGAAGAGATTATATAAAGAGTCTAAATACAAAAGAAAAATCTCAGAGGGAATAGAAGATGGTAAGAGAAAGAAGCAGAAAACAGAGCTGTCTCGGTGGCCACTGGTTCAACCGAGGTTACGCCTCACCAGGAGAGAGAATTGAAGATATGAGACCAATGCGAGACATAGATGTCTCCTAGAGAGAGGCTTTATTTAGTTTTAGTTTTTATATTTTTTTACAGAATTAGCTTAATTTTGTCCTAAGAATGTTTGAATCTTTATTATCCCTTTTGCATTAATTCACTCTTTTCTAACCACCTTCTAAGCTTTAATTTTTGAAAACATCACTATACATCACATCTTTGAAATAAATAATCAGTTTGTTATTTAATTCTAAAGCTTTTGACTTTTCTTGCCTTCACAATTTTAAAATCCACACACATAAACCTCTGAAATAAATACAGTAGGCCAAAAGTTTCACACTATTTTGGGGTATATCCATATGATCTCTGTAATTATATAATTCTGCCTTTTAAAATATACTATCTAAATCTAATTTTTACATTTCAAAAATTATCTTCAGTAGTAACTAAGTATATTTTCTGCAAAGTGATTTCTGAGAACATTATTTTTTAGAATGTGAGAATAGACATGTTTATTTATAATCTTGTAAGTTTAAAGTCTGTTTTCTGATAGCTTATGTATATACTTGCAAAAAAACTTTGTACAATTTTGTGATGATGTAGTTGCCCCAAAATATATTTTAAAAGCATACCTCAATAGTAAAACATTAAAAAAATTGATCTTTTTTTATAATTATCATTCCAATTGTTTCACCCTACACGGCCACCTTTTGCAGAAGGTGAGGGGCTTGGAAACCATTTTACCAAAGTGGCAGGCAACCCAAGAGACCTGTATTATCATGCTTTTCAACTTAAATTCATTTAAAATTTAAAAAGCAGAATTAAATAACTATCTTAAGCAATCTCAGCACTTTTGGTCACTCTTGTTTTCATGGAGGATTATGAACATTATATAATCTTTGGGAAAAGTGGAAGCAACAATTCAACTTTTAGAATAATATGGGTTAAGCAACTCTAATCCAAAAATCCAAACTCTGGAATGTTCCAAAATCCAATACTTTTGGAGCACCGATGTGATTCCGAAATGGTATGCCCAAAGGAACATTTTGGGTTCCAGATTTTCAAGTTAGGGATGTTTAACTGGTAAGTATAATGCAAATATTTTAAGATTTAAAAAATCCAAAATTAAAAATGCTTCTGGTCCAAATCATTTGGATAAAACATACTCAGCCTGTAACACTTGCCTCTCTCACTATATTTCTCTACACATAGCAATGACATAGCCCTAAACTATATAGTATCATTACTAACAATGATATTACATTATAAATGATGATACTTAGAACAGCAGTATACAAAAATGCCTCAAATGTTTTAATAGAATTTAGCTTTTCCTTAAACTACTTTTTCATGGTAAAACAAAACAAACACCCAATGCTAAGCAACTTAATACGCATATAAACTTGAAAAATTAGACACTTTAGTTAGGTAATAAACTCCACTTTATGAAAGCAATATACTACAAGTTTCAAAGATTTGACAAGTTCTATAGAATATCTTTCATGAGTAGATGGAAAATTTCAAACTGCAAGACCTTCTGCCAGGTAAGACTGGATGTCATTTGCTGGTTTGAGGTAGAATTCATTCCAAGGTATGTAGTGGCAGTACAGTAACAATGGGGTGATAGAATGCACAGCCTGGCTTTGTACACTGAATGTTAAATCGACAGTGTTTTGGATGATACAAGTGACATTCAGTTTCCTTAGAAGCCAGGAAGTAGTGATACAGCTGACTACTAGAAGGTGGTGCTGGCATTATAGCTACTGGGTTTGGAGGCAGTACTGTAATTCTCCCCATGTGAGTAAAGGGACAATCTGGTTTAGTACAGTTTGCAATGTATTTACAATTTTGGTGAACAAACAAACATTTTTCAGGAAATGTACAATTAGGGAAGGCTTTCCAAGGTGAAACAAGATGATGGTAAGTACACTCATCCCCATATCTACAAGTAGGCCAGTACTTGCAATACTCCAAAAACTTATCTGTTTTTTGTTTTGTGCCTTACTTGCAGTAATGAGTTCAGGTGAGAGCTGGTTGTTTAAAGAGGCTGGGGTTTCCCCTGCCCCTCACTTGCTAAGTGATATGCCCGCTTCCCCTTCTCCTTCTATTATGATTATACGCTTCTTGAGGCCCTCACCAGAAGCAGATGCTGGCACTATGCATCCTGTACAGCCTGCAGAAATATAAGTCAAAATAGGATCCTTTTTTTCTTTTTTCTTTCTTTTTTTTTTTAATGCAGTATCAGGTACTACTTTATAGCAATGCAAACAGACTAACAGTTATTTTTGCTTCTAGATTGTTATTCTTCAGACATAGCCATTCAAAGTATATTGTTGGTAGCTTGTTTAGAAGACGGAAAGTAAGGTCTCTTCAGGCTTTGCTAGCGCTCACACACTGTTGGAGATGCTTCTTGTTCAGGAGCCATGATCAACACCTTTCTCCTTTTATTCTATAATTGATTTTTTTTTACTTTAACAACTGAACTTACCAGAAGTAACTTTTTAAGAAGTTTTATTCCTTAACACTCATTTTTTTCTGAGCTGTTTCTGAAGAAAGGACTATAAGTCTTTTCTAAGCTGTTAAGCAATTCTGGCTAACATCTCCTTTTCATGTATTTGTTCTATTTATCAACTCTCTTGGCAGCGTGAATATTGTTTTGCTGTTGTTGAAATTACTACCTGTTTCAATGGACCTCTATCTGCATTTTAACTTGAAGATACTGAGTAAATTTCAACAGAGGGGTGAGAAGGCCCATATGTACATGTCGCTATAGATTTTTTTTTTTTTTTGAGATAAGTGATTCCTCAGCACAAAATTGAGGTCTTCTTCAATGAGATTATCTGGTTCTGGCTTATCATCAATCACATCTTCCGAAGATGCTGGCTTCCTGCATGGTTTCACTGTTGACACTAGTCAAATTGTAGTTCCAGCCTTACAATATGTCTTACATTAGTGGTTTTCTACTTTTGTGAACTTAAAAGACTCTGGAATCTTTTTTTTTTTTTAAGGTTTAGTGCTAGAAATGACAAGGAGCAGCACTGCAGCTTCATTCCTTCTTCCATCTCCCCAACTGAAACTTGGGGAGATCTTGCTTGAAGGCATGTTACTATTAAAGATGTTGGTATCAGAAGAATTTAGACTAGAGGGTTTTGTTGTAACAGGGAGTAGTTTACCATGAAGCCATACGATGAATCAAATTATATTATTTCCTAGAAATAGGGACAGATCTTCTGTCATTTGGTTCTGTCTTTTCTTGTTTGATACCATTACCACAATGCAATTAGGAAGTTTTTATCAATATAAGATCTCAATTCTTGCAATTTCCCTTTAATGGCACTTGCAGCTGATCTTGGGTGCCAGTTTCAATGGTTCCAAGGCAGATGACGGGCTTGGTGCTGCTCTGCACTTTGTTTACTTGAAGCCAACCATGGGCTCTCGCCTGACAGCTCCACAGCAGCTGCCACTGCTGCCTGCACTGCTACACATGCAGCTCTGCAGACAGAGACTTAATTAATGGATGGAATGGATGTGGGGTTGAGTAGTGCCCCAGACAAATGCTCATTCTTTCACAAAGAACAGCATATTGATGGAGACCACTCCATCAATGGAGAGCAATAAAATGTGATAAAATAGGACCAAGCCAGTGTCACATAGGGTTCCACCCCACATGCAGTATGGTAATTTTACAAATTAAAACTTTGTCTTCCCTATTGCTCTTCTCTACCTCCATCCTGTAGGGCCACCTCCAGAAGGTGAAGATGGAAGAGGAATGGAAAAGCAGACCACTATCCTCCTCTCATTCTCTCTCTCTTAAGCCACATGTTGTGCCAACAGAGGACAGGAAAGCTTTGAATCCAGTACAAAATTGCAATGTTAAATTCGACTGATAAGAAAGTTATGGAATCCACTCAAGACAATTTTAAGTGACTGTGACAGAACATATATATGGTCCATTGAAAAATAATGAGTATAATAAATGCAAAACATGTCATGTTTATACCCTATTGAGACAGACATCTCAATAAGCTGGTTATAAAAATCTAACATGCCAACACTATAATCATGTGCCTTTCAAAAATTATTTTCTTGTGATTCTTATAACATAAAGTATAAGGCTATTGTCACATATGTGCAATAATTAATAATCTAAAGGAGTTCTTATGTTTAAACTAAAGTGTATCTTCCATGACCTGGTAAGATAAGTAAGAATTTAAAGGGTTTCTGAAAATAATAATTACCATAACTAATATTCTGAGTGTTGACATGCTAGACATAATTTTTTTTCTTTTTTCTTTTTTTTTTTTTGTGCGGGGGGTTGGGTGGGGGTGGAGTTTTGCTTCACTTTTGTTGCCCAGGCTGGAGTGCAATAGCACAATCTTGGCTCACCACAACCTCTGCCTCCCGGGTTCAAGTGATTCTCCTGCCTCAGCCTCCTGAGTAGATGGGATTACTGGCATTTGCCACCACACCTAGCTAATTTTGTATTTTTAGTAGAGACGAGGTTTCTCTAGGTTGGTCAGGCTGGTCTTGAACTCCTGACCCCAGGTGATCCACCCTCCTCAGCCTCCCAAAGTGCTGGGATTACAGGCGTGAGCCACCATGCCTGATCTTTACTTTTAAATAAAATGTAATTTCATTTTGTAATCATAAAAATCTTATCCAGTAGGTATTAAAATTAGCCCCATTTTACCAATCAGAAACTAGCATTTAAAAACTTGAAGTAAAAAGAAGCTTCATCTTGAAGAGAAAAATTTTTGACTTTGGCATGTGAGTGTATTCAAGCAATCCAATCGTGAGATAGATACAATCTGACAAAATGGAAGATATGTTATGTTCATCTAGAGAGAGTATTAGCTATATATGTTTTTGAATAGAGAAGAAATTAGACTAATAGAAGTGTCCAGTAAAAATGGACAGTTATCTTTCAGTACTGCATGGGATAAAAAGGCAGGGAAGAAAGTGTTGAAGTCAAGAGAGACAGCGAAGGTACCTAATATAGCAATATTGAACATGAACCTCTTTTATTTTAATTATCCTTATTCTAATGATAACTAATAGTGCTATTATAGCAGGGAAGGTGGAACTTAATAGAGTAAGATAAATGGGAGTAGATATTGAAAATTACCCTTGAGATACATGCATTAAATACATCTAATGAGTTGGGATAGGAGTTAGTTACATCCCATCTGAAAAGTATTGGGCAAAAACATAAGTTGTATTCTTAGTTATGTTAAAGTGAAAGTTTTGTTCTTTGTGCATGTGCCTCACTAATACTACAAATGAAGGCAGAAGGCAGAAACCAGAAGTACAATATAAGATCTATGAAACTCACCTTTATTTTAATGTAAAACAAATAAAATATTTTTATAAAGATAAAAGGTATTGCCGTTTAAGGAACATAAGTAGCCAAACATTTCTGTAATCATCTCTCTAAATACAACTAAATTTCGTAGTTGTAAAATATAAAACACACAGGAAAATTCTGAAAGATGGAGGGGAAAAAGGCAGAGGATAGGGACCATGGAACACAAGAAATGGTATGGTAATGAGTTTCCTGGGTGACTTTTTGTTTTCTATATCCCAGACTGGTTATTAAAGAGGCTGAAGACCCAGAAACATCAACTGACACAGGCAAAAATATCCCAAAACAAACAATCAAAAAGCAAGAAAAGCTTATTCTCTTTAGCAAAAATACTGGAAAACAGACAACCTTTTAAACAATAACAACTCTACTCCAGCCAAACACTACAGAGAAAAACAAAAAAGAAGAAAGAATCTGTGGTCTTGGCTAAAAAATGCTGAATGGGGAGCCTGGAATTTCACCTCCACTAAGCTGCGATGAGGTAATCTCCCTGCTGAGGTGGTGTCACAGAAGACCATGTGGAAGTCGGCACTTGCATTTCCGCCCAGTCTTAAGGAACATCCTCACTCTATCTGCCATGCCAGCCAGTGGAGACTAGGAAATCTGAACTTCTAGAACTATCCAGCAGTGATAAGGTGGCCTTTTCTTTCCATTTTGGAGGTGATGTCAAAAGAGGGCTAGTAGAGAGTCAAGATTTTACAGGGTTTTATAGAGTCCCCTATAATATCAGTGGCCACCACCTGAAAATGGTAATGAGGCACTCCTTACACTCCCAGAGAGGATGATATCAGCAGAGGCCTAGTGGACGATTCTTATTTTCCACCCCAACTCAGGAACAAAAAGGCCTTCACGAGTTCCCATACTTCCTGGTGTCAAAAGATGGTCAAGCCTCAGGGTATTTCGAGGCATAAAGGTGAGGATAATAGAGAGGAACACAATGGATGCTGTTTGTCCAATGATGATAAGAGGATGTTCAACTGGTTGCCCCTGATTCATGTTAGTGTAAATACATCAGTCACTGAGATTCAGAATAAGCACTGGCTTAATGGTCTGAATGTTATGCTTTGTTATTTAGATATGTGAAGCATAGGGATAATTGCTAGAATGAGAATGGAGGATGCAAGAGCTTATACACTCCCTCATTTGTTAGAGATAGATCATAAGATTGCATAGGCAAATAAGAAATACCACTCTGGTTTAATATGGGGCAGGGTGTTGAGAGGGTTAGCTGAAGTATAGTTGTCTCGATCACCTAGAAGTTCGGGTGAAAATTGGACTAGAGGGTTAATTAGTACGGGAAGGGTATAACCAATATTTTTGGGGTATGGACCCAATAGCTTATTTAGCTGACCTTACTATAGGATGTGGTATATTGGGTAGCACAGATAATTTTGGATTCCCAGGGGTTGGTTCAATTCCTCTAATTCTAGAAATAAGAGGGTTTGAACCTCTATAATTTATTATATCAAAGTAACTCTTTTGTCAGACATATTTCTTATGTTTGGGGTGGGATACTGGAGATTAGGACTGGTATTGAGATATGTCATATGCAAAGTGCTAATGTGAGTGGTAGGAAATTTTTTCATAGAAGATGTATGAGTTGATCGTAATGAAATGTGATCATAGAGAACCTGTACTTCCATACCCACCTAGCAATAATACGATGGCATCCCAGTTTCTCTATCAAAGCTATGCCAGAGGAAGACTGCTAAAACATAAAATTTAAATAACTATACAATGTTACAAATATTATAATATTTAGAACATTATAATATTAATATACATTAATATTTATATTTTAATATTATTATAATTCCAAAAATATCAATGTTTTGATAAAAAATCATTCATCAAAAATTTACATTTGGAGAAATGGCAATCAATAGACACCAAGATGGCACAAATATTAAAGTTATCTAAAAAGGTTTTAAAGAAGACAATATAAAAATGCTTCAATATGCAATTACTTAAACCAAATAAAGAAAATAGAAAGCAACAGCAAATAAATTTAAAGAAGATTCCAATGAAATTTATAGAATTAAAGACATATGGTCAAAATAAATATCTAAGTAGATGAGCTCAGCAACACAATGGAGAGGGCAGAAAAAGAATCAGTGAACCTGAGGATTGAACAATAGAAATGATTACATCTGAAAGACAGAAAGAAAATAAACTTTATACAATAAAAAATAAATAGAGCTTCAGGACATGAGAGACTGCAACAAAACATCTAACATTTATGTTATCAAATTTTAGAACAAAAGAAGAAAGAATTGGGTTGAAAAATGTATCAAAAATTACTTTTTTGTTTGAAATCCGGCAAAAGACATATGTTTTCAATATGTAAAAGCTGAGTAAATTTCACATAAGATAACCCAAAGAAATTCACATGTAAACACATCATAGACAAACTTCTGAAAACTAAGGACAAAGAAAACTTCTTGGAAGCAGTCTGAGAGAAGCAATGCATTATATGGGTGGGGTGGGGGGAAAGGAATTGAACAGGAGTGATCTCCTTAAGAAAAAGAAATTTCAATACAGAATTGTATTTTTAACAAAACTATCCTTTACAAATGAAGGAAAACCACAACATTCTCACATGAAGGCAAATGAACAGAATTTGTCATCAGCAGACATCCCCCAAAAGTATTATTAAAGACAATTTTTTAAACAGCAATCCATAATAAAAGCAGGAATCTTGGAGTTTCAAGAAGGAAGAAAAAACAAGAGAGCAAAAATGTTCTATCTATAAAATTTTCTTCTACTCTTGAGTTTTCTAAATTATGCTAGCCAGCTGAAGCAAAGTTTCTAATACTGTGTAATGTTCTAAGTGTTTGGAGAATAAATATTTAAAATAATTATATTATACATTGGGAAAAGAGGGGGTATTAAGGAAGGTAAAACTTCTACAACTTATATGAACTGGTATAAGTGGTTGACACAAATGGACTGTCATAAGTTGTGTGTGTGTGTTTAAGTGTCTGTGTGTGTTTACTAATACCTAGAGCAGTAACTAGGAGAACTATAAAAGACAAACACTCAAAAACAACTTATTTGAACTGGTATAAGTGGTTGACACGAATAGACCATCATAAATTGTGTGTGTGTGTTTAAGTGTCTGTCTGTGTTTACTAATACCTAGAGCAACAACTAAGAGAACTATCAAAGACAAACACTCAAAAACACTAAGATAAACCAAAATAAAACTCTAACAAATGTTTAAGCAACACACAAAAAAAGTTAAAAAAAATAGAGAATGAAAAAAAACATAGAGAACAAAGAAAAAAACACAACAAATACAGTGGAAGATTTAAGGACTAGCATTAATAATTACATTAAATATAAATAGTTTGTATTAGTCTGTATTCACGCTGCTGATAAAGACATTCCCAAGACTTGGCAATTTACAAAAGAAAGAGGTTTAATGGACTTACAGTTCCACATGGCCGGAAAGGCCGTACAATCATGGTGGAAGGCAAGGAGAAGCAAGTCACGTCTTACATGGATGGCGGTAGGCAAAGAGAGAGAGAGCTTGTGTAGGAGAACTCCTCTTTTTAAAACCATCAGATCTCATGAGACTTATTTACTATCATGAGAACAGCAAGGGAAAGACCTGCCCTCATGATTCAATTACTTCCCACTGGGTCCCTCCCACAACATATGGGAATTTAAGATGAGATTTGGGTGGGGACACAGCCAAACCATATAATGGTGTAAGTTCACCAATAAAGATGGAAATTGGCAGAGCGTGTAAAAGAACAAAATTCAATTGTATGCCATCTAGAAGAAATTCACTGCAAATATACTCACATAGGTAGATGGAAGGTAAAAGAATGAAATGGATATGCTACACAAACATTAATCAAAAGAAAGCAAACTCAGGCAACGAGAGAGACTTTACATAATAAAAGAATCAATCCATCAGGAAGAAATGTCAATCCTAAATGTGTGTGTATCAAAAAACAGAGCTATAAAATATTCAAAGCCAAAACGGACAGAACTAAAAAGAAAAATTGGCCAAATCAACAACTGCAGTTTGAGATTTTAAGATCTCTACCTCAACAATTTATAGAAAAACTAGACAGAAAATTAGCAAGGCTATAGAAATTCACAATACCACCTACCAATAAGATCAAATTGACTTTTATTATAGATCATTCCACCCAGTAACAAAAGAATGAACATTCTTGTATAGTGTTCGTTGAACATATAGCAAGCTGACAATATCTTGGGCCATAAAACAAACCTCAATACATTTAAAAAATTGAAATAGTATACAATATATTCTCTCAGCACAATTTAATCAAATTAGAAGTGAATAAAGGAAAAACAGTGAGAAGTTCTCTAAATAACTGAATGCTAAATATGATATTTCTGAATAGTACATGAGTCAATGAGAAAGTTTCAAGGGGAATTTTAAAAATACATTGAACTCAAAGAACTGAAAATACAAGATATGGTGAGACAGAAATTTCAACAGTAGATGTCAACATCAGGAGAGAGAAAGAGACTCGAATTAATAATCTAAGCTTCTACCTCAAGAAATTATAATAGCAACAGGATAAACTTGAAGCAAGGTGAAGAAAGAAAATATAATAAAGCTAAGAGCAGAAATCAACAAAATTGAAAACTGAAAAACAATAAAGAAAACTAGTGACACAAAATGCTGGTTCTCTGAAAGATCAAAAATATATTGATAAATTTTGAACAAAATTGACAGATAAAAAAAGAGATTAGTAATTAGTAATTACTAATATCAAGAATAAAACAGAGAATCTGACTAAAAACCGTGCAGACATTAAAAGTATAATGAGTAAATAATACAAATGTCTAAAAACATAAATTTGACAATTTAGTAATTTGACAATTACTTTTCTTTGAAAAGCAAAAACTATCACCACTTATTCAATATGAAATGTATAATTTAAATTGTCCTATAATTAGTATTGAAATTTAATTCATAATTAAAGCCTCCTGAAAAAAATAAACTCAAGGCTTTGATGAATTCACTGAACAATTCTACTAAACATTTAGAAACAAAATAATACAAATTCTACCAACTAATTTCCAGAAAATAGAAGTGAAGGCAACATTTAACCATCTTATTCTATGCAGCCTGTATTACCCTGGCACCAACAAAGATAAATAAAAACTATAAACTAATACATCTCATGAATATAAATGCAAAATTCTTAACAAAAATCAACCAGCTCTTTATATTAATTGTTTCTGCATCCATGGATTCAACCAACAATGGATCAAGAATATTGAAAAAATAATTCCTTCTATACTAAACATGTACAGAATTTGTCTGGTCATTATTTCCCATACAATACAGTATAACACTAATATATAGAGCATTTACATTATATTAGGTATTATAAGTAATCTAGAGATGCTTTAAAGTATACAGGAGGATATGCATAGATTAAACGCAAGTTCTATACCATTTTATATCGGAGACTCGAGTATCCACAGATTTCAGTATCCAAGGTATCACTATACTAGCAAATAGAATTCAGTGATATATAAAAGGGATTCTGTATCATGACCAAGTGAAATTTATTTCAGAAATTCCAGGAATGTGCAATATTCAAAAATCAGTAAATGTAGTCAACCATTGTTTTTTGTTGTTGTTGTTTTGTTTGTTTGTTTGTTTGTTTGTTTGAGATGGAGTCTTGCTCTGTTGCCCAGGCTGGAGTGTAATGGCACAAACTCGGCTCACTGCAAACTCTGCCTCCCGGGTTCAAGCAATTCTCCTGCCTTGGCTTCCTGAGCAGCTGGGACTACAGGTGGGAGCTGCCACGCCCTGCTAATTTTTTTTTTTTTTTTTTTTTTTTTGTATTTTAGTAGAAGCGGGGTTTCACCGTGTTAACCAGGTTGGTCGCGAACTCCTGAGCTCAGGCAATATGCCAGCCTTGGCCTCCCAAAGTGCTGGAATTACAAGCATGAGCCACCGTGTCCGGCTGTCAACGCCCGGCTGTCAACCATTTTAATAGGCTAAAAACAAACAAACAAACAAAAAAAAACCACACACATAATTATGAAAAAACATGATGACAATCAATTGCATGCCAAACAAGCAAAATTTGACTAAACTGAACAATTATTCATTTTTAAAACAAATAAATGCAACCCTATCAGAAAACTAGAAATAAAGGAAATTTCTTCAACTTGATTTTAAAAAAATCTTTAAAAAATCTACATCTAATCCTGTAGAACTGAATAACAAAAAATGGAACAGTTTCCCCTTAAGACTGGGAACAAGGTGGTTGGGCACAGGGGCTCACGCCTGTAATCCCAGCACTTTGGGAAGCTGAGGTGGGCGGATCACCAGGTCAAGAGATCAAGACCATCCTGGCTAACACAGTGAAACCCCATCTGTACTAAAAATGCAAAAAAGTAGTCAGGCTTGGTGGCGGGCCCCTGTAGTCCCAGCTACTCAGGAGGCTGAGACAGGAGAATGGCATGAACCTAGGAGGTGGAGCTTGCAGTGAGCCGAGATCACGCCACTGCACTCCAGCCTGGGCAACAGAGCGAGATTCCATCTCAAAAAAAAAAAAAAAAAAAGCAAATAAGATTGGGAAGAAGTCATTGTCATCCACCCTCATCACTTTTATTCAACCTAGTACTGGAAGTTCTATCCAATAAGGCAAGAAAAATTAACAAAACCCCTATGGATCAGAAAAAAAAAAGAAATAAAACTGTTGTTATTTGTAGATAACATAATTGTGTACGAAAACTTCTGATATGGTTTGGATTTGTGTCCCCACTCAATTCTCATGTCAAATTGTAATCCCCAGTGTTGGAGGAGCGGCCTGGTGGGAAGTAGATTGGGTTATGGGGGCAGATTTCCCTCTTGCTGTTCTCATTATATTGAGTGAGTTCTCACTAGATATGGTTGTCCCCCTTTCACTATCTTCCTTCTTCTTCCACCATGTAAGATGTGCCTGCTTCCCCTTCCACCATGACTAAATATTTCCTGAGGCCTCCCCAGTCATGCTTCCTGTAAAGCCTGAAGAACCGTGAGCCAGCTAAACCTCTTTTCTTTGTAAGTTACCCAGTTTCAGATGTTTCTTTATAGTAGTACCAGAACAGACTAATACAAATCCCCAGTAAATGTACTTACCAAAAAATATCCTAGGACTAATAGATGAGAAATCTCTAAAGCCTAGGGCCTAGTGAGGAGTTTTTAAACTTGACAGTGAACACAGGGTCCATAAAAGTTGATAATTTGGAATTTATCAAAATTTTAAATATTTGATATGAAATTCCCACTTGAGAGAATGAAAAGGCAAACTACAAAAGAAAATAAATTACTTACAAACCACCTATTTGACAAAGAACTCATATATAAAATATATAAATAACTCTCAAAACTCAACTGTTAAAAATATCAATTAGAAATGAGCAAAAGACATGAGGAGACACTTCACCGATTAGGATATACTGTTGGCAAATAAGCACATGAAAAAATGTTCACCATCATTAGTAGTTAGGGAAATCCAAGTTAAGCCATGATGAGATACCACCATATACCTATTAGAATAGCTAAAATTACAACAACAACAAAAATAGTGATAGAATCAAATGCTGGTGAGGATTCAGAGGAACTGAAGCTCTCAAACTTTGCTGGTAGGAATGTAAAATAGTACAGCCACTGTCTAAAACAGGTTGGCAATTTTTTATGAAAATTAACATGGAACTGCCATGGGACTCAACAATTGTATTTACCCAGGAGATACGAAAACTATGTACACATAAAAGTCTCTACATGAATGTTCATAGCAGCTTTATTCGTAATAGCTAAGACCTTGAAACAAGTAAAATCTTCCTCAGTGGGTGAATGGGTAAACGAAATGCAGACCATCCACACCATTGGATATTACGCAGTAATTAAAAAGCTATTAATACCTAACACAACTTGGATGGATATCAAGGGCATCACGCTAAATGAAAACAGGAAATTTAAACAGTCAAAAACTGCTTGCTTCAATTTACATATCATTCTTGAAATAATAAAATTGTAGAGATAGAAGACAGATTTGTATTTGCCAGGGTTTAGGGACCATACAGGGGGAGAGAATGTGTATGAATATAAAGGGATAGCAGAGGAAGATCTTTGTGGTGAAGGAATTTATTGTCTGTTGATTTCAGAGGTGTTTACACCAATCTGCACATGTGATAAAATGACATAGAACTATGTCCATACATTGTATCAATGTCTAATTTCTGGTTTTGATATTGCACTGAAATTTTGTAAATTTTAATCATCTGAATAAACTGGGAGAAAGATGCACAAATCCTCTCTGTACTACCTTTGCAACCTCCTGTAAATCTAAAATTACTTTCAAATATAGTTAAAAAATAAAAAATATAAAGAATAAAATAAAACTTCTTATGAATACATTAAATTGAATGAAACTCCATGACAGCAATCATATATTGGTACTTTCCTGGCATCTGGGTCTATAATGTTGCCCAGCATGTATTTTTTGTTACTTCTGTGTTATCTGTCTTCCTCTGATAGATTTTAAGTCTCAGGAGGGCAATGATGTTTGCCTGCTTTGTTCACTGTTGAATCCCAAGAGCTTAAGTCAGCACTTGCTTACACAATGTCTTCAGTAAAAATCGGCTGAATGAGACAAGTAAGACAGTGGATCTATCTCTTTAGCATGTATAGGATATAATTTATGGTAATAGATGAGATGAAATGATACTCATAGTCTCAGATCCTGATCACAAAAATTTTAGTAATCATCTGAAAAACCGTTTTTATCTCCTTCTCCATTCAGTCTTGTGTTTCAATAACTCAAGTAAACGTAGATATGCTAAACATGACTTTTGTAAGTTTTAAGTAAACAAATCATGTCTTGCTGTTAGCCTTGAAGTATAAAGCAGAAAAGCAGAAAAAATAATTTATAAAATGCAAATCTTTATTGTTTCTTAATGATTTTTAACATTATTTGTTCAAAACATTTGCCAAGGAGTACACTTTTCCAAAAGACAGCTTAGGCTGGATTAATTACAGGACAGGATGTAGGGCAGCAGGACCAGAGTCAGTTTAGCACCATTGCTCAGATAATTTGGGTTTAACAAGAGGGCTGGGAAGAAATAACTAGGTGATAAGTCCACAGTGGAATAATTATTTTAGGCCATTAGTGTCTTTTGTGGTTCTTTCTTTGGGCTACCATGGGCCTCAGGGCCAATATGCCTAATCTAAATTTCAGAATCTAGATTCTTTTAACCATGTGATTTCCGAGCCTGAAGAAAAATAGCTCTCTGTGATCTCAGGAGCTATTAGAGTCTTGAGCACAATCACTAGTTTTTCATGTGATTTCTGATTTTCTATGGTGATTTTAATCATCAATCCAAGTTATCAGCTGTGTAAAAACATTTAAAACTTTGGGCCAGATATAGCATAGGATGGGATACCAAGGAATATACAAAGTAGGATTATAAATAGATCCTTCTTATGTAACTATTTTTTGGATTTTTAAGAAGGTTTGTAATCTCAAGTTCCATCTGAATTCTCTGAAATAAGTAATTTAGAGAGTGGCACAATGGCCAGATTTTCTTCTCTTCCTCTTCTCCCTCTCCTTCCTCCTCCTCTTCATTATTATTATTATTATTTATTACATTTTGGGCCACAAGTCACATATTGTTATAACAAAGGTTTCATCTTTGTTTCATCTTTAAGTTTCCCATTTTGATAGTTAATAGTCTAAAATCTTAAAGTAACAGAAGGGGAAAATAACTACTGTGAAAATAAGGAGAATGAGACAAAGAACTGTTTGGCAGTCAGTGACTCCTGGCATATGGGGATCTTTGTCCAGGGATCTTTTGGGTAGAAGCTGTTTATATATGGAGGTTTGCTGCTATATCCAAGGTTCTTGAGAAACCTGTCCTCTTCATGATGCCATTTGCTCTGGAGTATCTTGAGAGATTCTCAATTATTTATCTCTGAGTTGTAAAGACTGTAGGTTAGGTGAATGTGATGATTTATTTTGAGTTTGGAAATATGAGTCTAGATATCTAATCCTTGTGATTTAATGACCACATTTGTAGTTAATAGTACCTAAGGGCCATTTCAACAAAATTTAAAATCAGTCTTATCTTGGTACCATTTTGGTAGAACTAGTTCTCCAGAATGAAGGTAATGCAGGGGTTCCAGGAATTTGTCCTTGAGAAAAGCCACTTGGACTTGCTATAAACATAAGTATACTGCCTTAAATCATTAAAGTATTTGACCATTTCAGCTATAAACTAAATTGTGCCCTCCACCAAATTCTTATGTTGAAGCTCCAACCCCAATTTGGCTGTATTTGGAGATAAAGCCTATAAGAAGGTAATTAAGAATGCCGTGTTTCTTAATGATAGACAATGGCTTACAAAGCACTTTCAGTACGGTCCCTATAAAATGGGTACCTTAGTCAGTGAGTAAGTATTTCAGTATACACCATGTTGGAAATACAAAGTCTAGAAGACAAAAATAAGCCATCCAGAAAATACACAATGTGTAAGTAACACATTTTCATATGAAGAAATCTCTCTTTCAATATCCAGATAGACCTTTGCTCTTGATTTTACTGCTTTGCTGAGTTATTAGCTTGGCAGATGTGACATATGCCAGAAACAACCTCAGGAATTTTGAATAAAATAGCCCTACGAATGTTGGCTTAAGATTGCAGATAATTTATCTATGCCATGGGGATAGAATGAAATTGTCCTTGGTAATAAATTATTAACCACCATTATCAAAATCAAAGAGATTGGAGACCGCTTCTGAGGGATAACACACAATTAGTTTATAAACAGGTAGTAGAGGATTGCTCTAGGAGTAAGGACATATTATTCATGGTGAGGATATTGACAGTTGTCTAGGACCTTTTGATTTATGGCATAAGACATACAAGGGTTGACAATTGTCTCTGAATGACTAGTATATACAATTTAGAGACATAAATCCATTCATACACAAATATTTTGCCAATCTTTGTGCCTAAACATTAATATGCTTTTGAACTAAAAATGATGCAATCATTAAAACTTATTTATATTAATATATCTTGCTTATTCATAGTGAACTATAAGAACTGAAATGCCAAACAAACCTGATTACTTTTATCATCTTTCTTTCATACAAGGAAGGAAGCAATCATTTTGGTATCTGGTAGACATTTCCAGAAATCTGCAGATATTTATTATTCTAAAGTTGGTGACTGAATTTGAGACACACACAAAAAAAGAAACACTTGACAAAACACAGAGATAAGCCATATTTATTCAAAGTAAGAAATAAGGGCCATCAATAAGAAACAATGATTTTACCCATTTAAATTATATTCTTCAAAATCAGAACACTTAAAAATGGTACCATTCATTGCTTCTCAGCCTTTCAGCTAAGATCAAGTGAAAAATAATTCAGTTCAAGAATATTATAGAAGTACTGAGAATTAACAAAATACTTTGGTAATGAAAATGAAGCATCTCTATCTGAGCAGATAATGACTTGATAATTTCATAGAAAAATATTCTAATTTTCCTTTTATGTATTTATCTAATAATATTTTTTCAGGGAAGGGTCTACAAACCTTTTCTCTTTTTAATAAAGCTATTACACTGAGTCAAAGTTGTTATAATATTTAACATCTTTTATTGTTTTTAGTCATTTTTATTATGTATATTCATATTCACAATCACAGTCTCTGTATAAATTTATATATATGAGTTTAGACATATACAAATACATAGTTATTTAGATACATGATAAAATTAAACAATGACTTTAACTTTAAAATATAATTGACATTATCAACATATTATCTAAAATAATGTATATTTTTTATTCATTATTTAATATTATTAAAATATGGGTTCCTTAAGAAAATGAAAAATTAAGCACTCTATCTTGTGGATATTTTTGTGCCTATAGTTTCTTTTTTCTTTCTTTCTTTTTTGTTTTTTTGGAGATGTAGTCTTGCTCTATCGTCCAGGCTGGAGTGCAGTGGCACAATCTCAGCTCACTGCAACCTCCACCTCCTGGGTTCAAGTGATTCTCCTGCCTCAGCCTCCCCAGGAGCTGGGATTACAGATGCATGCCACCACACACAGCTAATTTTTGTGTTTTTAGTAGAGACGAGGTTTCACAATGTTGGCCAGGCTGATCTTGAACTCCTGACCTCGTGATCTGCCTGCCTCAGCCTCCCAAAGTGCTGGGATTACAGGCATGAGCCACCATGCCCGGCCTGTGCCTGTAATTTTGATACTTAGTACTTTCAAGCATTTTTAGAATCTCTCATCTTTAATCAAAATAACCAATAATTTGTTCCTTCAGAGTAAGGCAAATCTAGAAAGTAGGAAATTTATGTCTTACCTTTTTTCTTCAAGAGCAATTATTTTGTATTAACTTTTCAAATATATAAATACAGTTATAACATCACCCAAAGGCATTTGAAGATCCTGATAACCTTTTCCTCTTCTGTAATGAATAAGGATAAAACTAAAACTAAGTTTAGTAATTAATATTTTAAATATTTTCTTACTTTAAATTTATTCAATTAAACAACCACTATTTATTAATACAATTTAATATTAGTGGAAGTTGTTAAATTTAATTAAGGAAATAAAACTTATGATTTACGACTATACATGAAGCCATTATATTTGACATGATAAGAAATGAGATTAAACATTTTTTAAAAGACATCCACTATTACAATTTTATTTAAACACAGTTTTATATTTTTGACATTTTAAGCAAAACTCAGAAAAAAGATAACTTATTTGACTCATGAAACTATTATAGTAATTTATAAATTTCAAATTTTGTGAAGTTTGATATTAGTCCCAGATAAACTAGAATATTATATGGAGATTAATTTTATACAATAACATCTAAAAAAAGATTAGATGTTTTTACTTTAAGAAACTATTAATTTATTTTGACAACTTGTCTATTTTTCAGGTATGTAAAAGATAATTCTCATCACAAAATGTATGTATTTATTTGTTAGTAAACCAAATGTTAAGATTTTGAAAGTGTTTAAATCATCTTATTCTTCTCTTTAAGTCAGAGGTGCAGATTTAACGTTATTAAGCAACATTTTGAAGCAAAAGAAATGCAGTTTAATTTTTTTCTTTTTTTTATAGTTTACTATTTACCTGGACTATATATTCCTCGATTGCACAGTGACATGAGTTTTTAACATTTTTAATTTTTTTAATTTTTATGGATACATACCTAATAGGTGTATATATTTATGGGTTATATGAGATATTTTGATGCAGGCATATAGTATGTCATAATCACATTAGGGTAAATGAGGGTAAATCCATCACCTCAACCACTTATCATTTCTTTGTGTTACAAATATTCCAATTATACTTTTTTAGTTACTTTAAAAGGTACAATAAATTATTGTAGACTGTAATCACACTGTTGTTCCATCAAATACTAGACCTTACTCATTCCAACTAACTATATTTTTGTACTCATTAATCCCCGCTAACCCCACGCCCCACCCCGGCCTCTGGTAACCATAATTATTCTCTCTCTCCCCATGAGTTCAATTGTTTTAATTCTTACCTTTCACAAATGAGTGATAGCATGTGAAGTTTGTCTTTCTCTGCCTGGCTTGCTTTGCTTACATAATGTCCTCCAGTTTTACCTATGTTTTTGCAAATGACAGGCTCCCATTCTTTTAATGGCTACATAGTACTCCATTGTTTATACATACCACATTTTCTCTATCCATTCATCTCTTGGCGGTCACTTAGGTTGCTTCCAAATCTTGGCTATTGCGATAATGCTGCAATATACATGGGAGTGTAGATACCTTTTCCACATACTGACTTCCTTTCTTACAGGTATATATCTGGCAGTGGGATTGCTGGTTGATGTGGTAGTTCTATTTTTAGCTTATTGAGGACTATCCATACTGTTCTACATAGTGGTTGTACTAATTTACATTCCCACCAACAGCATATGAGGGTTCTCCTTTCTACACATCCTCTCCAGCATTCCTTATTGCATGTCTTTCAGATAAAAGCTATTTTAACTGGAATGAGATAATATATCATTGTAGTTTTGATTTACATTTATCTGACGATCAATGATATTGAGTACCTTTTCACATGTCTGTTTGCCATTTGTATGTTTTATTTTAGAAATGTCTAGTCAGATATTCTGCCATTTTAAAATCAGATTATTAGCTATTTTGCTATTGACTTGTTTGAGCTCCTTATATACTGTTATTAATCCTTTGTCAAATGGATAGTTTGCAAAAATTTTTCTCTGCTTCTGTAGGATGTCTCTAAACTTTGTTGACGGTTTCCTTTGCTATGCAGAAGCTTTTTTAACTTGATGTAATCCCATGTTTTCACTTTTGCTTTGGTTGCCTATGCTTATGAGGTATTGCTCAAGAAATCTTTGTCCAGAGGCATGTCTTGGAGAGATTCCCCAATATTTTCTTTTAGTAGTTTCATACTTTGAGGTTTTAGATTTAAGACTTTAGTCTACTTTAATTTAATTTCTGTATATGGTGAGAGATAGGGGTCTAGTTTCATTCTTCTGCATATGGATATCTAGTCTTCTCAACACCATTTGTTGAAGACACTGGCCTTTCCCCAAAGTATGTTCTTGGCATCTTTGTCAAAAATGAATTCACTGTAGTATCAATTTATTTCTGGGTTCTCTATCCTCTTCCATTAGCTGATGGGTCTAATTTTATGCCAAATATCATGCTGTTTTGTTTACTATAGCTATGCAGTATAATTTGAAGTCAGATAATGTAACTCCTTCAGTTTTGTTCTCTTTTGCTGAGGATAACTTTGACTATTCTGGGTCTTTTGTGGTTTCATATACATTTTAGAATTTTTTTGTATATTCCTGAGAAGAATGTTATTGGTGTTTTGATGGGGATTACAGTGAATCTATAGATTACTTGGGGTCATGTGCATATTTTAACAATATTGATTTTTCCAATCTATGAACATGAAATATCATTTCACTTTTTTGTGTTCTCCTCGATTTCTTGCATTAGTGTTTTATAGTTTTCATTGTAGGGTTTTCACACTTCTTTGATTAAGTTTATTTCTAGGTATTTAATTTTATTTGTGGATATTGTAAATGGGGTTACTTTCTTGATTTATTTTACAGATTTTTCACTGTTGGCATATAGAAATGCTATTGATTTTTTGTATATTGATTTTGCATCCTGCAACTTACTAAATTTGTTTTTCAATTTTAGTAGTTTTTTGGTGGAGTTTTTAGTTTTTTCCAAATATAAGATCATATTACCTGCAAACAAGGATAATTTGACTTATTCCTCAACTTGGATATCCTTTATTTCTTTCTCTTGTCTGATTGCTTTAGCTAAGATATCTAGCACTATATTGACTTAACAGTGGAAAAAGTGGACACTCTTGTTTTGTTCCAGATCTTAGAGAAAAGGCTTTCAGTTTTTCTCCATTCACTATAATGCTAGCTGTTTTTCTGTCATATATGGCTTTAATTGTGTTAAGGCATGTTCCTTCTATCCCAAGTTTTTTGAATTTTTCTCATAAAGGGATGTTGAATTTTAACATATGTTTTTTCAGCATCAATTTAAATGATCCCATTTTTTCTGTCTTTCATTCTGTTTATATCACATTGATTGATTTTTGTATTTTGAACCTTCTTTGCATCCCTGGGATAAATCCCACTTGGTCATGATGAATGATCTTTTTAATGTGTTGTTGAATTCAGTTTGCTGAATTGAGGATTTTTATTTCAATGTCCTTCAGAGATATTAGCCAATGGTTTTCTTTTTTTGATGTGTCTTTGTCTGATTTTGGTATCAAGATAACACTGGCCTCATAGAATGAAGTTAAAAGTATTCCCTCTTTCTCTATTTTACTGAATAGTTTGCATAGTAATGGTATTAATTCTTCTTAAATGTTTGGCAGAACTCAGCAGTTGAAGCCATTGGGTTCCAGACTTTTCTTTGCTGGAAAACTTTTTATTGTGACTTCAATCTCGTTAGTTGTTTTGGGTCAGTTCAGGTTTTGGATTCTTCATGGTTCAATCTTGGTAGGTTTTATGTGTCTAGGAATTTATCCATTTTTTATGGGTTTTCCAATGTATTGCCATATAGTTGCTCATAGTAGTCCCTAATGAACCTTTGAATTTTTGTGCTATCAGTTGTAATATATCCTTTTTCATCTCTGAATTTATTTCTTCAGGTTTTCTCTCATTTTTTCTTAGTCTGCCTAAAAGTTTGCCAATATTATCTTTTCAAAAGCCAGCTTTTTGTTTTGTTGATCTTTTGTATTTTTTTCTTCACTCCTGAATTGAAGAATTCATTTCTTCAATTGTGAATTCAGCCAGGCTTGTTCTTCCTTTCAGGACAGTGAGGTCCCCTTTCTCCTGCTCCAAATAGGGTCCAGAAATGACTGTGAGCCAGAGCCTGGAGTCAGGAACCTTAGAAATCTATTTAGTGTTCTATTCCACTGCAGCTGAGTTGACACTCAAGCCTCAAGGCAAAGTCCCTCCCACTTTTCTGTCTCCTTTCCTCAAGAAGGAGTCTCTCCCCAAGGTCAGGTGGCCCAGGCCTGTGGTGAGCACTGCCTGGCTGTAACTGATGTTTATTCAAGGCCTAAGGGCTCTTCAGTCAGTTTGTGCTAAATGCTACCAGGCCTGGGTCTCTCCCTTCAGGGCAGTGGGTTCTCCTCTGACCCACAGAATCCAGAAATGTCACCATCCCAGACCAAGGCCTAGAATTAGAAACCTCAGGAGGCCCCTTGGTGCTCTATCTTACTGCGGCAGAGCTGGTACCCAAGCTATAAGGCAAAGTCCCCTTTATCCTTCCCTCTCATTTTCTCAAGCAAGAGTCTCTCCACATGTCCATTATAGCTGGGAACGTGCTGGGTCACCCCTGAAGCCAGCATTGCACTGGATCTCAGACAAGGCCCACAAAAACTACTGTCTGGTTTATCCAAGGCCCAATGGCTCTTCTGTCAGCAGGTGATAAATCCTGTCAGAACTAGGTACTTCCTTTCAAAGCAGTAGGTTCCCTTATGACCCAGGATGTGTCATCCAGGGTTTAGGCCTTGGGATGGGCCCCCACGACTCTGTCTAGTGCCCTGTCCTCCTGTGGCTGAGCTGGTATTCAAGGTGTAAGACAAAGTCCTCTTTACTCTCCCCTCTCCTCTTCTTAAGCAGAAGGAATCAGTCTCTCCCAGGCTGAGAGCTGTGCTGCCTGGAATGGAGGAGGGTTGCTACAAGCACTCCTTTGGCTGCCCCAAGCTGGTGTCTCACTAGGTCATGTGAACCCCAACTCCACTGGCTCTGAGCCCAGCACAGCACCAGGACTTGCCCAAGATTTGCAGTCCTTGTGGCCTAGACCGCCTTCTAAATTTATTTAGGATCCTAGAGTGCTTTGGCCTGCAGTGGCATGGCTAGCTGGAACTCAGGTTCTGACCGCCAGACTGGACAATTTACCTCTGGCTAGGGCTGGTCTAAATGCTTGCTCTGTGGGCACTGGCTGAATTCTGCCCCATGTTGCTTTCCATTATGACCGGCAGCATTGAGTTCCAAAGCAAAGTCCCACAATCACTGAGCTTTCCTTCCCCTAAGTAAAATGATTCTCTCTTTGTGCCATGAGGTTGCTGCTGCCTGGGGATGCAGCAGAGGTGATGTCAGCAATTCAAGACAGTCTTTCCTACTCTCTTCAGTGCCTCTAAACCAGGCAATGTGATTGCCCACCTTATTTTTGGTTCTTATGGAGATATTTCTTTGTGTGGATAGCTGTTTAATTGGTGTTCCTGTTGGGGATATGATTGCTGGAGGCTTCTATTCTGCCTGCTCACAAAAATATTTTTGTTAGACTATGGTGCAAAACTTTTTAAGAGAATGGAAAAAGAAGTAGGGAAGGAAATAAAAACAAGTGGGCAAAGAAGTAAGAGGAGCCAGCTTCGGATAATTCTTGTAAAATGTTACTTATCCCTTCTTAGTAGGATGGTTGTTAGATGCAGGAAATCTATTTTCACATATATGCACACAGGCACACACACATACAATACACACACCCAAAGATTTGTTACATTTTATTTAATAAAATAGCCTCCTTCTTAAGTGATCTCTTTATTTTAAAGACAGAAAAGACAATCTCCTCATGACGATTTCTGTCCTTTTTGTTCAAACGCTTCTCTCAAATGAGCACACTTGCTTACTAAAAAGTATGAAGTGGGCTTTGTAATTCTAAATTTCTTTAGTGACTGTCCTCCAAATATTCAAATACCTGTGCAATTAGCATCATAATACATATTCACATATGGGTCTGGAAATGTTAACACCACACTCTTACCTGTCTGTTCAAAAGGTCTCAGGAAGTGAAGAACAAAAGAAAGTGATGGGCTGCTAACCAATAATGATAATTATCAATGCTCAAGCTGCAATCTGAGGTAACAAGGCAGAGTGCAGCTTCCCCCTTTCAAGCAGATCAGGCCGTGGCGACAGGGAGCCTGGTACTGGTTGTGGCATGACACCAAAACTGAGAAAGGAGACAAATCAGCACGTTCAAATTTTTATTAGCTCAGCATTTTTATTAAAATATAAAACATTTGAGAATAATTTTTTTTGAAAGGCATACATTCTCATCTTGATTTGTTTGCAGTAAACCTACTTCAAAGGGATTGTTACGCCTGATTGTGATAAATAAATATGAACTCTAATATTAGATTTGAGCACATAATATCTTGTTCTCCATATAGGACAGTAAGGTTGATTTTACAATTTCTTTTTCAATGAGAAAAGACTTTTCACTAAAGATATTAGTCTTCTGCCAATGTTTGTGTGATGTAACCATAAACTCTTAGCGATAAATTATTGGAATAGAGATCTACACATGCTCCCAGCTAGGCAAACAGCTGCTCTCTCAAAAAACTTTGGGATTGGTATTTAGATTTTATGATAATGCTATAAATATAATAATATAAATTTGCAGATGTAGAGAAAGTAAAGTTAATCTTCAGAAGAAAGAATGAATCAGAGGTGCAAAGCAGAGTCATGTAGGATCAGTAGAAATTACTCTCTAGTCCTTGTTGATTTTCCAGTTCTTACTTCTTATTCACCAAGACTACCCTTTGCTTTCAGCTTTGATTGCCCCCGCATCCTTCTATCAAATTCCTTTATTGGTTGTGTAGAAAGGGGTTCTGATCCAGACCCCACGAAAGGGTTCTTTGACTTCCTGCAAGAAAGAATTTGGGGTGAGTCCATAAAGTGAAAGCAACTTTATTAAGAAAGTAAAGAAACAAAAGAATAACTACTCCATAGGCAGAGCAGCAGCATCTGTGGCTCAACTGATTATACTTATAGTTACTTCTTGATTATATGCTAAACAAAGGGTAGATTATTTCTGGGAAAGGGGTGAGCATTTCCCAGAACTGAGTGTTTCTTCCCTTTTTAGACCATATAGGGTAACTTCCTGACATTGCTATGGCATTTGTAAATTGGCATGGTGCTGGTGGGAGGGTCTTTTAGCATGCTAACGCATTATAATTAGTGTATAATGAGTGCTGAGGATGACCAGAGGTCACTTTCATCACTATCTTGGTTTTGGTGGGATTTGGCTGGCTTCTTTGCCACATGCTGTTTTATCAAGAAGGTCTTCTTGACCTGTATCTTATGCTGACCTCCTCTCTCATCCTGTGACTAAAAATGCCTAACATCCTGGGAATGCAGCCCAGTAGATTTCAGCCTTATTTTACCCAGCCCCTATTCAAGATGGAGTTGCTCTAGTTCAAATGCTTCTGCCAGTTGAACTATCCCAAATTGGTGCCTGTTAGTTGAAACCCATACAATATCAACTAAAGTATGCTGAATTAAAATACTGAAATGTTATTATGGGTTACATAATTTACCAAATTTTTAAAAACTGTTATCTTCCAAGCTGATCCCTTAAATTCTGGTGTTTGTAGAAATTATATTTATTATACTTTCTTTCACCTTTCTTCTCTTTACATAGTAGCATCTATTTACTTCCCTAAATGTGATATTTCTTTACTGGAACAGGTTAACTTTGGGTTGTTGCCAGGGTGTGTTAGTGATCCCTTAAAATATTGCCTCAATAGCATTCGCTGGCTTCTGATATAGGCAGACAGGTCAGGCTTAGTTCATGAACAGAAAATTCATTATAATAGCAGAGTTTTCAAAGCAAAAAATCAATAAATAAGTTTTAATAAACACCATCAACTTTTTCCATTGAAGCCTTTTCAGAACATAACCCATCTTCAGAATCATTGTCATATTCTAACAACGTCTATTTTCTTCTAAGATGTTAAATGTATTTGTGTTATAAACAATATTTTTCTTGCCTGAATACATTTTTTTCCATCTCACCTGATTTTTTCCAAGCTTGGAAAATATGTCAGATCAAAGAGAAGGAGCTGTAGCTGCCTTTCTTAGGAGGGGGAAAACGCACAGGCTGTTTATTTCATCACTAAAAGGTACCTTGAGTCACAGGAGAATATTCTATGACTTCCTTTGTGACTGAAAGCTTTCTTTATGATTTTTAAATAAAAGTTTTTAAGGCAGTAGGTGGCTTCGAGAAGCAATATATGATTAAGTGTTAATTTTATAGTGATCTTTTGCATATACGAACTAGATCACTTTCCCTCAAGAAATTCCCATAAGTGTAAGCATATTTATTCAGATCATTCATCTTAATCTTCCACCAAAGAAAAATAATGTTGCATGTGAGAGTATTTTAAAGTGACTGATGAGTATATTGAAAGAACGATAAATTGTTAGTCCTAATGAAAATATATTGATGTGCTAAGTAAAAATCTGTCTGTAGTAGCCCTACTTTATTCAGAAAAGGGAGAATGAAAGGGCATAAAAAACAAGAACCCCAAATCTCCATACCCTGACCAAGGCACATGCCTCCTATGAAAAGCCCCACTAGACAGTGATTCCAATGGACAGAGCCAGAGCAAAGTGACATGGGTTTGGCAAGCATACTGCCATCCTATTCTCAGCATGCACCTGTAAATTCCAGTATATTTTGTCAATATAACTTATCCCACAAATGAAAGAAAATGTGAATTTCTTTTCTTTCAAACCATAATGATTTGGCTCCTGGTTTGCTCTCTCTATCACCTTCCTCTCACCAGCAACATATCATGAGAACTTGTCCCAGTTTCTTTCTTTAAATGCACCCATGGTGCGTCCACCTAAGGGTCTTTGCACTAACTGTGCTTCTGTCTAGACCTTTTCCCCCCATATTTTAAGGAAGTTTCTTCCTTTTCATTTGTAAATAAGCTCAAATGATTTTTTTTTTACGTGTAAGTTAGGTGAATAATTAATTTCACATTTGCCCTTGCCCCTTCAGAATGTAGGGTCCATGAGACATATCTTGTTTACTGCTATTCCCTCAGTACTAATAACAGGGTAAGTCAGTCCATATGTACTTGTTGAATGAATGCATCATGATATTAACACAAACAAATAATTAAAGCATAATATGGGTAGTAAGAAAATTCTCATGAAGTAGCTACCATGTCATGTAGTATAGCTTATTTTAAGTAGTCAGTCCTTAAACCAGCTCTTCTCAGCCAGAGATAGAAAGAAAAATGTGCACGGCTCTTGAAGGTGGTAGAAAGAGATGGGGAATATTCAACTCATGCTATCTTTATGTGTGTTTTTTCTTCAAAAGTACGTATTGGCTTAAAATACAGCTGAGTGCATTGGCTTCAAATACAGTTGAGTGTATTCACTTCAGTGACTGGTGTTTAAAATCCAGCTATTCCCATATATTGGCCACACATGTGTACTCATGTGATGCTGTAGAAAACAGTATAAATTAATGGTTTATATCATAAACTCAAAGAAAGTAATTAGCTACCTCTACTGGAGATCCAAAGGCTGTCTTTCTCTGTTGTTATAGAAAAAATCTTTTGAGGTAAAGATTATAGGTCCTCATGTCAGAGAACTAGATTTAACTTGCGGTTCTACCATTATGTAATCCTTTTTAGCCCATGTTTACCCAACTGTAACATGGCAATAATAATAGTACTTAACTCATAAGTTCTTATGGATATGAAATAAAATTAGAGTCTGATATATATAAAATAATAACACCTTACACGTATTGAAAATGTTGTGCTTTAACTGTTTTGGAGCTCTTTAACTAAGGCCATTTATTAATCTTTAAGTTAAATATTATTATTGCTGTAATTGAGATATAGGAAAACTGAGAAAAAAAGAGATTAAGTGACATGCCAGAGATACTCAATTAGTAATAATTCCATATATGTAATCAGCATTTTACATTTCACTCTTTTTTTTTTTTTTTTTGATGGAATTTTGCTCTTGTTGCCCAGGCTGGAGTGCAATGGCACAATCTTGGCTCACTGCAACCTCCACCTCCCGGGTTTGAGTGATTCTCCTGCCTCAGCCTCCCAAGTAGCTAGGATTACAGGCATGTCCCACCATGCCTGGCTAATTTTGTATTTTTAGTAGAGACAGGGTTTTACCATGTTGGTCAGGCAGGTCTCAAACTGCTGATTTCAGGTGATCCGCCCACCTGGGCCTCCCAAAGTGCTGGGATTACAGGCATGAGGCACCGCACCCAGCCTACATTTTACTGTTACTGCTAGTATTTGAATGGTCCTCAATGTAGTTCAAGCTACAATGAACTCAAGTTACACACAGATCAATTAAAATTGCTCCCACTTTATCCCATTTAGCTAGATCTCCATGTGCTTTTACATTTTGATTATTCCTCATTTATCCTCCCTCACTTTTTTGTTGCAGTTTTTCTTGATGCCTCTGATCCTCAAACTCTGACTATGAACACTGACAATATTAAAGAATAGCAGATGGATATAAGTGCTTTGGCTCTGGAATCAGACAATCTTGAGTTAGAATTCTTGCTCTATAACTCATTTGAAGTATGATTTTGATCAAATAACTTAAGTATTAAAATGGCAGCTTTCATTCCACATAATTGTAAAAATAATAATACTTATAGGGTAATTTGAAAAATAAAGGAGAAAATGTGTATCAGTGACTTCATATGTTGCTTATTGCCTAGTAGATGCTTCATTTGCATTGGCTGATTAATAATCCTGTAGTCTAGATATGGGGTCCCCAACCCCTGGGCAGATGATGGGTAACAGGTCTTTGTCCTGTTAGGAAATGGGCTTCACAGCAGGAGGTGAGCCACAGGCAATGGAGCAAACTGAGCTCAGCTTCCTGTCAGATCAGTGGCAGCATTAGAGTTTCATAGAAACAGGAACCCTATTGTGAACTGTGCATGCAAGGGATCTGGGTTGCATGCTCCTTATGAGAATCTAATTAATGTCTTGTTATCTGAGGTGGAAAAGTTTCACCCTCAAACCATCCCTTTCTCCTCGAAGGTCTGTGGAAAAATTGTCTTCCACAAAACCAGTCCCTGCTGCCATAAAGTTTGGGGAACACTGGTCTAGATCACCCTCAGCAGTGTTCTCCAAAATACAATGCTTACAGTCACCTTCTTGAACTGTGCATCTCTGCAGGGAAAGTGTGGTGATCATTGAAGTTGTTCGTCAAATATCTCTGATTAATACATTTTTAGGCATATGGTAAGATTGGACCTCTTCAATCCTTTGAAGTTAGTTGTGGCCAATGCTTTGGCCAATGAAATGTGACTGGAAATATGTGTGTCTTTTCCAGACAAATGCTGCAAAAGCTAGTGAACGATTCACCATCTTCCTGTTGCCCTTCAATCCTGATGGAATGTTCTCTGTGATGCATACTTTCTCAGCCTGAGACTTGAAACTAGGAGATCTAGAGCAGAATCCCCAGTGCATTCTGTGATGGACACATAATATAAACAAGAAATAACCCTTTGTTGTTAAAATGCCATTAAGATTTATTTTGGGATTTATCATAACAGTACAATCTAGCCTGTATGTATTAACACAGGGGATAGAAGACATTTTTAGCAACTCCTTCTAAGATTTCAGTGGGGAAAGGTAATCTCATTCTAGCATGTGAAATAATTGTTGATGCTATCCATTTTGGATCTTTTCTTTGCTTGTTTCTTAATGACTAAATGATTTATTCTCTCTGAAGAAATGAGGGCTCTGTTGAAGACAGTGCTGTGAGTTTCAGGATAGTGAGAATTAAAGCAACAAAAGGCAATCTCTGTAATAGAGAAGGAGGGATTCACTCAAGTTCAAGAGAAGATACTCTTCAGAACTTAGAAATTCTGCATCTCATTTGTCAATGTGACCATGATTATCTATATGTAGCCTTAGAGAGATGGAGTCCATATACATGTCAAGCTTGGTTTTTGGCATGTAACTCTCTGAAACTAATAGCAAATGTGAATACTGGGACTTGTCACTAATTATATTGTGGTTGATACTGATTTTTATTGTACCCAGGTTTCCTTACTGTGAGGAACATGAAAGTTCTCCTGCTTAGCCTGAATAATGGGAATTTTGTTGTGTTCTTGACGGGAAACCCTGGAGCCACCCAGAGGCAACAACAATGTCCCTCAGTTAATTACAATGGGGATTAAATCAAGTATAGCTATCCCTTGCCTTGATATTTCCCAACATGTTTATCATTTACATTCTGTAG
Organism: Homo sapiens; assembly: GCF_000001405.40. Classification (NCBI taxonomy): domain Eukaryota; kingdom Metazoa; phylum Chordata; class Mammalia; order Primates; family Hominidae; genus Homo; species Homo sapiens. The sequence continues at coordinate 94,470,444 of NC_000006.12, forward strand.
GTTCTTAAATGCTAATGTAATGCCAATTATAGATACCAATAAAAATTATTGATAAAAAGATAATATATTGTATTAGGGATCCTTCAGAGAAAAGAATCAATAATACACACACTCATATATATAGAGAGAGAGACAGAGAGAGAGAGATTTTATATATGTCTGTATTTCTATCTATACATATGAGATTTATTTAAAGAAATTGGCTCAGATGATTGTGGAGGCTGACAAGTCTAAAATTTCTAGGTTAGAGCAGTCCAGAGATTCAGGGAAGAGTTGATGCTGTAGCTTGAGTCAAAACAGTCTGGGGGCAGAATTCTCTTGTTTTTAGAAGACTTCAGTGATTTTCTCCTAAGGTCCTCAACTGATTATATGAGGCTCATCCACCTTATGGAGGGTAATCTGTTTACTCAAGCCTACTTGTTTAAATAGGAAGTTCATGCAAAAATAATTGTCACAGAAACATCTAGACTGGTGTTTGATCTGGGTATCTTGGCTTAGTCAAGCTGACATATATAATTAACTGTCACATATATTGAATTGTAAATGTTCAGCAACAATTTTGTATGCTGTTTCTATCTTTTATTTTTTATAAACAATAAATAACATGTACCCATAGAAATTTTTTAAAAATTATAAAATTGATTTCTATAGATATGGCTTCTTTTAAATTCTTTACCCGTCATCTTTCCTATGCCTGTTTTTGAGCCTTTTGTAAATTGTTAAAAGAGAGTCATGTTTAGATTAACTCTGTTAATGAATACTTAGTGAATGGATACACTGAGGAAAAAAAAAACAAAAAACAAATAATAATGTTGGCAGAGACACATATAACCTCTGGATAGGAGTGCACTCCTATCCTATGAATTGGTCACTCAGTCTTTCTTTTGTAGAAGGATCCCTCCTCCTTATTCTAGTACTATTAATTGTATTTTTTGTTGTTGTTCTATGCATTACTTCTTTCTCTATTATATATTTCCTGTTTTTTTCTACAGTTTGAAACTATATTCCTTGCATGAAGACTAGGACCAAAATAAGAACTGCTAATAATTAGCCAAAGAGTTAATAATGAGATACTATGAATTTGTTAGACACTGCCCTCATGCTTTGTATTTTATGAGCCACTATCCAGCCTAATTTGAGGAATCACTCTTTAGTTCCTGATGCAATAAATTGTAGACTGGGTGGAGTGCATGTTATACAAATTATAGCATCCTGTGTGTTAACAGCTGCTTTTCATTGTTTGCTTAGAAGCAAGCTGTGCCATTGGCTACCACTTGCAGGATTACATCCAATACATCTAAGACCTGGATCATCACATTTTATAATAACATAAGTGATGATCTAGGTCTTAGCTATACTGGATGTAATCCTGCAAGTGGTATCCAGTGTAATTTCCAAACAAAGGACCTGGCATAGAAAATGCTTCCTCGGGCGCGGTGGCTCACGCCTGTAATCCCAGCACTTTGGGAGGCCGAGGCGGGCGGATCACGAGGTCAGGAGATCGAGACCATCCTGGCTAACACGGTGAAACCCCGTCTCTACTAAAAATACAAAAAATTAGCCGGGCGTGGTGGTGGGCGCCTGTAATCCCAGCTACTCGGGAGGCTGAGGCAGGAGAATGGCATGAACCCAAGAGGCGGAGCTTGCAGTGAGCCGGGATAGCGCCACTGCAGTCCAGCTTGGGCGAAAGAGTGAGACTCCGTCTCAAAAAAAAAAAAAAAAGAAAATGCTTCCTAAGGCAATTAGTGAATATACATATATTTACAAAGTGACCTCATTTACAAATGTTTTCGTTAGTAAAAGGAGACACTCATACTAAAAGATACTTTTAAAAGTTTCTTTTTCAAACTTGATTTTCTGTTAGCTTTCTTCATTAAACAATTAAACACCCTATCTAAATAACAGGTATGTTATATATATATATATATATATATATATATATATATGTAATATTTATATTATATATTTGTTTTGTGTATATATACATATATATGTACATGTTTGTATATATACATATATGTATGTATATATATACACACAAAACATGTTAGAAAACCATATATCTATCTAAATAGCAGGCATGTTTTATACATATATAATTATATATTATTTGTGATATGTGTATATATCACAAATCATAGTTTATTAAGAGAAAAAAACTTAAAATTTTAGAACATGGTGCTATCTACATTGTCTAAGAGGCCAAGCATAATATCTTTGTTTTATAATGTCAAAAAAGGTATTTTATACAAATATAAAAACAAATAATCTGAACAATTATTAAAAGTAAGTGATGAGTAAAGTTGACATTCTTTTATTTACCATTGCTATAATGATAGTGTAGCTGTTGTCCAATTATTAAAAATAAAATGGTATAGAATTAAGATGGGAATGAAATAACCTGAGGGTGTAGCAAACTATCAGATGAGTAAATAAATTAAATAATCAAGGATGGTGAAAGATCAAGAGTAATTAATATTTTTCACAGTACTTTCAAATGTAGTTTAGTTCAGCCAGCCCAGGTATCTGGTAGAAGGGTTGCGTTTTAATGAGGCATATGCCAGCTTATTTCACAGATCTTAAGCTTGCCTTGCCTTGCCTTACCGGAGATAACACACCTATGAAATGTTAAGTTTACTAGAAATATTTAAATGCTTAGTGGAAAGACACAAAGTGACCCCATTTGCAAATGTTTTCATTAGTGAAAGCAAACACTTATACTAAAAGATACTTTTAAAAGTTCTTTTCAAACTTGATTTGCTGTTAGCTTTCTTCACTAAACACCCCATCTAAGTAACAGGCATATTTCATGGACATTCTTGTTCTATGAGACTTGTTTCAAGTTCCTTATTTTCTCATGAGAAAAACAGTGCATAAATCACATAAATTGCAACGAAAGAGTTGAACTGAAAAAGAAACATCTTTCCACATATCTAGTTTGTACTCCTTTTTTTGCACCAATTTGGAACATAGTCCTTTGGTTTTCAAATAAATAGTTGAGACAATTCTGAGCTGAGCTCAATTAAACTTCACTTGCTATACTTCTGACATTTTCTTACCATTTTTAGATTTTTGTCATTTACATGAAATGTAGGCAGATATTTATTCCCTCTGACATTTACTTACCATCCTTTGTATTTTTGAACATCAACCTAATAATAATATTTTAGTAATATGAGTTGTATTTTTTGCAAGGCGAAAAAGCAGTGCAATATGAGAGAAAGAGAAACAGTTAAAGAGAAACTGTTAAAAATAAGAAAGAGAAACAGTTAAAGAGAAACAGTCAAAAATAACTGATTGAAGTTTAGATTATTTATTCAATTAATATTAGCTGATCTTTACTTGAAAGATCTCTCTCTCTCTCTCTCTCTCTCTCACTATCCCCCAGGAACATACCTCCTAGGATACTAGGCAGATGTGAGTCATTTTCTTGTATCATCTTTGGCATAGAGAACATTGACTTTATACAATACTCTACATTTCTAATTTATAATATTTAATTTGTCTATAAAATCTTGTCTTCTGGGTAAATTAGAGACAAAGAACAGTAATTTAGTAGGGTCTGGTGAAATGCAAAATGGAATAGCATCAGATATAGATGATAAGGAAAGGGAATGCAGTTTATGGTTAAATATCTTAGAGAAATGTTATTTGTGGGGCACATGTTGCAGGGAATAAAGACTGACAAATACAGCCCTAGAAATCTGATAAAAGTAGAGTAATGATTTTTAATTACCATACTTTAAAAAATTAATACATTATATATATATATTTATTGGGTAGAATTTGATGTTTTGATACATGTGTATGTTGTATCATCAAATCAGTGTAGCCTATCACCACATTTGTTTATCATTTTTGTGGTAAGAACAATTAAAAAATCTTCTAGTTATTTTGTAATGCATGAAATAACATACTTTGCAGTTAACCATAGATACCCTACTGTGTAACAGAACACTCAGAGGTTATTCCTTCTACCTAATTGTAACTTTGTAACTTTGACCAACTTCTCCCCAGCCTACCCTCTCTTAGTCCCTCCCCAGTCTCTGATAGCCACTGTTCTACTCTCTACTTCTGATATCAACTTTTTTTGGATTTCATATGTGAATGAGATCAAGCAGTATTTATCTTTCTATGCCAGGCTTATTTCACTTAGTATAATGTCTTAAGGTACATCCATGCCATTGCAAATGACAGGATTTCATTCTTTTCATGGCTGCATAGTATTTCATTGTGTATATAAGACAATTTTTTAGAAATCTACTAATCCATTGATGAATACTTTGATTGATTCCACTTCTGGGCTAATGTGAATAGTGCTGTAATAAACACGGGAGTGCAGATATCTCTTCAATGTACTCATTTTGTTTCCTTTGGACATATACCCAGTAGTGAGATTGCTGGATCATATGGTAGTTCTATTTTTAGTTTTTTGAGGAACCTCTATAATGTTTTATATAAAGGCTGTACTAATTTACATTCCCATCAACAGTATGTAAGTGTTCTTTTTTCTCTACATTCTCACCCACATTTATTTATTTATTTTATTTTTTGCTTTTTTGATAATAGACATTCCAGCTGGAGTGAGGTGGTAACGATTTGTGGTTTTGATTTGCATTTCTCTGATGACTAGTGATGTTGAACATTTTTTTTCACATACTTCTTAACTATTTGTATGTCTTCTTTGAGTAATATCTATTAAAATATTTTACTCACCTTTTATTCAGGTCGTTCTGTTTTTCCTATTGAGTTATTTAATTTCCCTATAAATTCTGGATATTAACTTCTTGTCAGCTTGCAAATATTTCATCCCATTCTGTAAGTTGACTCTTTATTCTTTGCTTTCCTTTGCTGTGCAAAACCCTTTTAGTTTGATATCATCCAATTTCTCTATTTTTGTTTTTGTTGCCTTTGTTTTTGAGATCTTATTTAGAAAATCCTTGCTGAGCTCAATGTCATGAAGCATCTCCCCTGTATTTTCTTCTGGTAGTTTCACAGTTTCAACTTTCACATTTAAGTATTTAATATATTTTGAGTTGATATCTGTATATGGGGAGAGGTAGGAACCTAGCTTTTTTCTTCTGCGTGTGGATATCCAATTTTCCCAGCAGCACATATTGAAGAGATTATCTTTTCCTCAGTGTGTGTTCTTAGAACCTTTCTCAAAAATCATTTGTCTGGAGGTGTGTGAATTTATTTCTGTTCCATTTGACAATGTGTATTTTTTCCAGTACCATGCTGTTTTAGCTATTATAGCTTTGTAATGTATTTCAAAGTCAGAAAATGTGATGCATTTGGCCTTATTCTTTTTACTCAGGATTTCTTTGACTATCTGGGATCTTTCGTGGTTTCATATGAGTTTTAGGATTCTTTTTTTATTTCTGTGAAGAATGTCATTGGCATTTTGATAGACAATCTGCATTAAATCTGTACATTGCTTTGGGTGGTATGACCATTTTAACAATATTAAGTTTTTCAATCTATGAATACAAGATATCTTTCCATTTATTTGTATCATCTTTAATTTCTTTCATAATATTTTACAGTTTTCAGTATGGAGATCTTTTACCTCCTTTGTGAAGTTCATTCCTAGTTATCTTATTTTCTGGATGTTATTGTAAATTGTTTTCTTGATTCCTTTTTCAGATAGTTCACTATTAACATACACAAATATTACTAGTTTTCAGATGATGATTTTGTATACTGCAGTTTTACTGAATTTATTTATCAGATCGAAGAGTTTTTTGGTGGAGTTTTTAGATTTTCTATACATGAAATCATGTTGGCTGGATGCGGTGGCTCATGCCTGTAATCCCAGCACTATGGGAGGCTAAGACAAAAATATTGCCTGAGCCCAGGAGTTTGAGACAAGCTTGGACCTCCTCTTTACAAAAAATTAAAAAGCTGGGTGTGATGGCAGACACCTGCAGTCTCAGCTATTTGGCAGGTTGAGGTGGTAGGATCACTTGAACCCAGAAGGTGAAGTCTGCAGTAACCTGTATTCATACCATGCACTCCAGCTGTTTGCTTTTTTGAGACCCTGTCTCAAAAAAAAAAAAATCACTGTGGAAAGCTGTGCGGAGATTCCTTAAAGAACGAAAAGCAGAACTATCATTTAATCCAGCAATCCCACCATTGGGTATCTACACAGAGGAAAATAAGTCATTTTACAAAAGAGTTACTTGCACACACACGTTTATAGCAGCACAATTTGCAATTGCAAAAATGTGAAACCAACCCAAATGCCCATCAATCGACCAGTGGAAAATGAAACTGTGGTATACATATATGATGGATTAATACTCAGCCATAAAAAGAAATGAATTAATGGCATTCACAGCAACTTGGATGAGATTGGAGACTATTATTTTAAGTGAAGTAACTCAGAAATGGAAAACCAAAGATTGTATGTTCTCACTGATATGTGGGAGCTAAGCTATGAGGACGCAAAGGCATAAGAATGATACAATGGACTTCGGGAACTTCAGGGAAAGGGTAGGAGAGGGAGGGGGAAAAAGACTACAAATAGGGTGCAGTGTATACTGCTCAGGTGATGGGTGCAACAAAATCTCACAAATCACCACTAAAGAACTTACTCATGTAACCAAACATCACCTGTTCCCCCAATAACCTATGGAAATGAAAAAAAAATTAAAGTAATTTTTAAGTAGTTTTATGGCAAAAGACATTTGCTTGATGTGAAAACCATTTCTCTAATTTGAATCACATAGAAAATAAATTCTGCATGTTCAAAAAAAAAAAAAAGGAAAAGAAAAAGATCATGTAATCTTCAAACAAGAACAATTTGACTTCCTTCTTTCCAATGCAGATGCCTTTTATCTTTCTCTTTTCTAAGTATTATTGCCAGTACTTCCAGCGCAATGTTGAGTGAAGAGGTGAAAGTGGGCATTCTTGTCTTGTTCCTGATCTTAGAGAAAAAGGTTTCAGCTTTATTTGTTCAGTATGATTCTAAATGTGGGTTTGTCATAGATGGCCTTTATTGTGTTGAGGTACATACCTTCTATACCTAATTTCTTAAGAGTTTTATCGTGAAGGGATGTTGAATTTTGTCAAATGCCTTTTCTGTATTAATCAAAATGATCTAATCACCATGAAATGTTTCTTTTGTTTTTTCCATTTTTCTCTTCTTAAGTTGTCCTAACAGGTAACATTTTGAATCATTGTTTTTAGAAAACTCAAAATTACACTCATAGCATTTTTAGTTAATTGGAAATTAAGCCAAAAATCAGTACTTTAGATGATACATTAGCAAATAGGCCTCCACTTTTCTGAGCTGAGCTCACCTGCAGGCATAAATCTGCTCTTTGAGGTTGCTTATAAATCTGTTTCACAAAAAGATCCTAATAGTAATAGATGATTGTCTCAATGACTTCAAGTATGTTGACATTTTCAAGCTGGTTTTGAAAAGATGAAACTCTAGTAAACCTAGAACAATGTTTGGAAAATGTATTCTGCTTTTTAAATTTACTTCTTTGTTTCCATTTGGTAGAAAATATTTTTCTATTATTAAAAAAAATCAATGTGTGAGAAACCTGAACTCTTAAATCATGAAATGAACCTAAATTTATCTAGAGAAAATAAGCCCAAAGAATATAAACCAGAAAAGTGCAAATCGGTTTTAAAAATACAGTTTTAAATAGCTATCAAATGCAGTGCACGCTCCATAAACTGCAGACAGCTTCCTGAATAAAATATGAGGACATGTAGCTCTGTGACTATCTATCTCAGTTAGGTAAAAATAAATTCTGAAGAAAATTTCTAAATAGGCCATATAGTATCTGCAAAGGAATAAACAAAGTAGCCAGCAGTGACAGTGTTTGCTTTTCATGTGGTGGAACTGTGTGCAAATACAAGGCCCAACAAATGTCAGTTCCTCATTTGCAAATGAAGATGTAAAAGGAAATGTCAGTGACAGTACATGCAACAGTTCATATTTGAAGTTTGGCACAGTGAACTGACAGCTACAGAGGAGCTGCAGTGGCCTAATCCTTTCTTTCTGCCTTCTAGTAATGATAGTTTGGGGGGAGGTGGGGGGTGGTTGTTAATAAATATGTGATGAGGAAAAGCTGTGGAAGAATGGCATATCTTCTCCTCTGCAAGAACTCATCTTCAGAGATAATTAACTAGGTGACAACATACAATGTGCCATTAACAACAGCATTCAAATCATTTCTGGACTTAAGTACAGTTTTAAGCCGCTTATCAGATTTTCATTTCTGAATCCATTCAGCTGTCAGGCTTACATCCTGGCTCTTTATTGAAGCTCACATGGGAATCCAAAACCTTCTAATTTTCTATACAGATTCATTTCAGAATCAATTAGAGTTGGTGGCAGCCTTCTCCCTGTGTGCAAAGGGGATTAGCTGGGCACTTGCTCAGCTGAACTACCTCTGAATGCACATTCAAACTTCCATCGAGAATGAGCTCTTTCTCCCCCCTTCTAGAGGACCCTTCAACAATTGAACCGCTGTAGACAACAGATGGCAGATAATCACTTGAACAGCCTCCAATTTTGTCAGGAAAGGAAAAGTGATCATCCAACTCTCTCTTACAGTAGGTAAGAGACCTCTGGGCATTTGAAGCATGCTCTGCTTTTAAAATAGGGAAATCCACAGCTGTTCTCCCTTCTCTGGAAATCTCCTAACAATGTCATCTTTCAGTCCTTGTCTCTGACTTTCTCTTATCAACTAGTGCCACATCTCCTCGACCTTTCTGCCTTCTCATTCTCCATACTGGTTCACCCAATTTTGCCGAAACCTTTGTTCTGCATGCTACCAAGGTCTAAAATCATCTTCAATATTAGCAGTAAAACACTTTAATGCTATTCTTTCAGGAAACACTGTTATGAAGTACACCTAATGTGTAAGTGCCATATACTGATATTTCACAGATAAACATTTTATGAACAGTATAAAATTTTGTAAATTAAATTATCACAAAAGAAACATAGAAAACAGATGTAGTCCACATGAACATGATGTTTATGTTTTACCTTTTCCTATATTCTGTTCAACGTAATGGACATTCAAATATCTTTTGTCCTATTAAAATTATTTAGTTATATTTATTCTTATTTTTAAATTTTACTAAAGGGCCCTATGTTCTTAGATTAAAAACAAATAAATTACTAGTCTTTCAATTAAAAAAACAGAGATCAATGGCCTCCACCTTTTGGTGCCTGTGAATGATGTCGTTCAATTATTTTAGAAGTTTCTTGTGTTAATTTCTTTTGTATTTCAAAATGCTGTCTTTACATTATAATTTCCTAACCTTTTGATTTCAGGTGTTATGTTCTGACTTTTCCCTTAGAAATATAATGTTTGGACTCATTTACTCTGAGTTGGCTGCCATTCTGCACAGTTTTTTGTCTTGCACTCCAAGAAGTAACATACATATATATATATATGAATATGAATATGAATATGAATAATATCCATGGAGTTGTGCTGAGTGTTGTAGACCCTTTGTCTTGCTCCCACCCCACCAATAGAAATGGAACCTTCCTATCTCTATTCCTCCACTGTGTTACTGATTCACTTAAACCTAAGCTGCCACTGATTATAAGGTGTGGCATTACTTTATGCTTGTACTTAGAAAAATAAAATGCTTCTAATTAAACTATAACACAATGTTTTCTTATCATTAAGAATTTTTATTATACTCATTTAAAGAGCCATTTTAGATTTATTTAGACAATGATTTATACCATATATTATAATTTTGCTTACTGAAGAAGAAAAATTAAAAAATTGATTAAGCCTTTCATAAAATTTCCTCCTATTAAGAATCTGACTTAGGAATCACTTTTCAACACAGGGATGTTCTTTATGTTTTCCAAAACAATATTATTGTTCTGTGTACTGCAAGAATGTTGAAAATGCAGCATATTGTAAAAGACCACTTGCTGTTATCTCTTGAATTTTTTCCAAGCTTCTAACATCCTGACATTTTCTTGATCTTAAGAGATGTCAGTGGAAAGTTCTCAGACAAAAATTGATGCTCTTGTTTCTTGCTTAAATGGTAATGAAATGGTTTATTGCCTGACAAATGCAGGTGTTATAGTTGCCCAGACATGCCACTAAAATTAATAATCATATTCCTTCATGTGCTGGCAAGGACAACTACATGAGGATGCCTGGCCAAGGGCCTTCGTAAGATGCTATTGATTGGTTATAAAATTGTATTATAATTTCAGAGATGAAGAAATATTTTCAGAGAATAGAAGAAAAGCATCTAATAATTCATTAAATAGTAATCAAGAACCAGTTGAGTGAATATGTCTTTCTTACATTCTTAAGACTACTAAAGATATGATGAATATTAAAGATCTTAAGATTATTAACAATAGGATCTAAGTAATGTTTAATAAACACATCGGTTCTGTTGTACAACACTTCGGTATTCCTAGGATTAGTAATTGAATGTTTTATGTTGATTACTTTTGTCATTTTATAATTCTTCTCCCATGATTCTTCAACAGAAATTTAAAACCCAACTCAGTGCAGTCAAACCTGTCAAGAATTTTTCTTGCTCTTTTGACTGATCCCTTCTAGAGGTCTGTTTCCTCTGATCCAAGATAGAATGCTTTTTTCATTAGAGTAATTCAGACCATCCTCTGAGGTCTTCCCTTGACCACTTTTGTAGATTCCATATTTCATGGGTCTTATATCTTTCTCTTTCTTCCAGTGGTCACAGAACATACCTTCCAAAAGATTACTGAGAAGGAGCTCGTGGGAGGGACATTTTAAAAAATCATATTTGATTGATAGTTTGGTTGCATATAGAATATTTGAATGAACATCATGATTCTTCAAAATTGAAATGACATTACGTCTATTGGATTCTACTCTCATAGGGTTATTCTTGAGAATTCTAATGGCATTAGAATTTTAATCTTCTGTATGTGAACTCATTTATTTTCTTATGAGAATATTTTTAATGCTCGAAAAATTTACAGTGTTATATTTGAGTATCTCATCATTGAACCTTTTAAAAATACAGAGACTTAACTTTCTATATTTTTGTTCCTTTCTTCCTCTCCTTTTTCTTTGTTGCATGTTTTTGGAGTTCCTTTCACATGGATTTGGTATCTCCTAAATTAAACCTCTATTATGCTCATTATTTCTCTAATATTGCCCATCTCTGCCTTTCAAAAATCTCATCCCTCAGCAATTTCCTCAGCTTATGCATTCCTTTATTCTAAGACATTTTTGACTTGGGTTATACTTGTTGATTTTTGACTTTGATAATTCTAATTCCCAATAATATTTTCATGATCTCTCTTGATCCTTTCCTAAATAACATCCTGTTGTTATTTCACCGTGCAATTTCTTCTCTTATACACAACAAATCTCTTAATTATTTTTATGGTCGTGTTGTATTGTTTATGTAGGTTTTCCTCATATATCTAGCAATGTATAGTGAGCAGTTTCTGTTTGAGATTGAAGCAGTAAAATGCTCATTGGAATTTCTGTGTGAGAAGCTTAAATTTTAATTGATAGGCTTCTCTTCAACATTATTAAGAAAAGAATATTCCAGCATCAGAAGCTGCTGATGTTTCCTCTGGGGACAAACCTTTCCCCAGGAGCAACAGTTCCGATGTCTGCTTGGTGGGGATAAGTGTGCCTAAGACAGAACTCTGTACTAAGCAGGGGAAGGATTCTAGGCCTATTTTTATGATAGTAAGATGGATTTAACTTTTCAAAGTCAGGTCTAATTATACTATTTACATTTTTAAACAATTTGCTTGTTTCTAGCATCAGTACTCTTTCTGGACTTTTTTCTACGGCCTCCGTTTCCTGAGCAGTTTAGGATGGTTTTCTGTGGCAGCAACTGCATTTCAGCTTCTTACTGATTTTCTTCTCAGCAAGCACTTAAGGTCTAGCTTCCTCTTAAAAAACAGACCCTCCTCTCTACCTTTCAAAAATAGTTTTACATCACCAAACCTTCTGCCATATCCTCATGGTGAGTAGATTTCTTTTTCAGTATTTTACTCTCATTTTATTGATGTTTCAGTAGAAAGTGGAGATAAATGCATATATTCAATCCAGCATATATAATTGAGGCACTCAAAATTTAATATTTTTCATAATACATATATAAATGGTACATATTTAAGGAATAACCTTAATAAATTTTGGTATTTGTATACATCTGTAAGGCTCTCACCAAATAAAACATTAAATAGATATATCAGCGCCTGGAGGTTCTTTACGTTCTTTGTAATCCCTCCCTCCTGCTCTTTTATCCCCGGACAACCACTGATAGTATTCTGTCATTGCATATTAAGTTGTACCCTCTAGCATGTTACGTAAATGCAATCATATATTATATACTCATTTTGCCTGAATTCTTTCACTCTGCATAGTTTTGAGAATCAACTATGTCCAAAATATATCAATATGTAATTTTTTGACAAGTCATAATTTACTGTATAGATATAACACAATTAGTTTATTCTTTTCAGTTGCTGATTGATATTGAGTTGTTTCCTGTTTTAAACCATTAGAAATAAACATATGTTTGTGTTAATTTAGTGTTCACTTGATGTATATGCTTTGTAATTATTTTCTACCGTTCTGTGGCTTGTCACCTCATTCTTTTAATAGTATTTTTCAAAGACCAAACATTTTAAATTTTGATGAAGTCTAAATATTAATTTATTATTTTATGGATCATGTTTTGGTGTCATATCAAAGAAATTTTTACCTAAACTAAAATCACAAGATTTTTATCCTATACTTTCTTTAAGACAAATTATAATTTAGAATTTATGGTTAGATTTGTGATATAATTTTAACTAATTTTTGTATAAGATTTGCAGTATTTATCAAAGTTTATTTAATGCATATTTTTTCTCCCCATATTGGTTTTGCACTTTTGTTGAAAATCAGTTGTCCACCTATGTGTGGGTCTGGTCATGGATTCTCTACTTTGTTTCATTGATATTTTTCTATCCTTGCATTAATACCATACTATCTTGATTACTCTAGGTTTATAATACATTTTGAAACAAGTACTGCTAGTTTTTTAATTTTTCTATAATTTTTTGGAGTATTCTAGGTGATCTGAACTTCCTAATGAAATTTAGAATCAGTTAGGAAATCCTCACAAAACACCTGATGGAATTACAATTGAGATTAAGTTGAATATATAGATAAATTTGGGGGAACTGACATCTTAACAATATTTGATCTTCTGAAACATAAATAATCACGTCTCCCCATTTACTCAAGTCTTCTTAAGTTTCTCTCAATCATTTTTGTAGTTTTTAGTGTGAACATGTCTTTTACATCTTTGGTCAGATTTATCTCTAAGTATATCATATTTCTGATGGTACTATAAATATTATTCTATATTTCCCCTCCTGATTTTCCTTTGTTATAATACAGTAATACTATTTATTTTTATATACTGATTTTAATTTGTATATTTTGTCATATTGCCTACATAGACAGTCACATTCTCTTCAGAAAGGTGACAGTTTTACATCTTTCTTTCCAACCAGAGTGCTTTTTATGTCTTTCCCTTGCCTGATTTCAATGTCTAGAACATGCAGTTTAATGTCAAATTGAAGTCATAAGAGTAATATCCTTGAACTTTTTCTATGGGGAAAAACATTCAGTATTTTACCAAGTATGATGTTATTTGTGGGATTTCATAGATGCTCTTTATCCAGTGCAGTAAAACCCCTTCTAATCTGAATCTACTTGTGTTGCATTCTGTTAAATGGTTATTCTATATCTATTGAGATTATCATATTTATTTTCTTTTGGTTTTTAAAAAATATATTAAATTACACTCATTATTTTTTGAAAGTTAAGCTAGCCTTGAATTTCTAAACTGAACTATTTGGTCATGCTGTATTACACATTTAGATAGATAGATAGATAGAGATGATAGATGATAGATACAGACAGATGATAGATTAGATAGATAGATAGACAGATAGATAGATAACACTACATACATAAGGCATTTTTTAAATTTTATTTAGAGTTTTGGCATCAATTTCTATGTCTTCAAGTTCACTAATCTTTTTTTCTATAATATCTAATCAGTTGACAATCCTATCCAGTATATTTTTCCCCTTATACATTGTAGTTTTCATCTCTGAAAGTTTATTTTGGGTCTTCTTTATATTTCATATGCCTCTACTTATCTTTATGAATACATACAATATATTTAAATAACTGTTTTTAATATCTTTGTCTGCTAAATGTAATGTCTGTGTCAATTCTGGTTTTGTTTCAATTGATTGATAAATTGCCCTAATTATGGATCATATTTTCCAGCAGCTTCATATTTCTGATACTCTTTTATTGGATCCTCAACATTAGTAATTTTACTATGTTGGGTACTGGATATTTTTGTATTCCTTTACAAATTCTTTAAATTTCCACTGTGAGAATGTTAACTTTCTTGGAAAGAATAACCCTTTCAAGTCTTGCTTTCATGACTTTTTCCAGAGTTTTAGACCAGGCTCAGTATACAACTAATTGTTTTCTGAATCCTCTATCCAATGCGCTGTGACTTAATAATTGTGTTCTGGCTGTTGGAAATGGACATAATTTCCTTCTAATCTCATTTGGTGGTTTTACCTGGGTCTTCAGTAGTTTCATCATACATGTGAACAGATCAGTATTCTGATGAACCATTGTGAGTGCCATTGTGCATCTCCAGGTTTCTCTCATGTGTTCTCCTATGTTGCTTAGTTCTACAAACTGCAGCTCCTCAAAACGTCAGCTCCATTTCTTAATTTTGGGAAACCTTCTGTGTCCCACTGGGGCTTTCTGTTTCTGCCCATTTTCCTGGAAACTGTCCTAAGGAAATAAACTAGGTAATCATAGAATTCACTTTAATTTTTTCCAGTTATTCTTTCAGAAATAACGGTTCTTTAATGCCTTATTTGTAGTGTCCTCAAATACATTGTTTATTATATATTTATTGTGGGTTGTTTTGATGTTTGCTTCTGATTGTTTTTGTTAGGACAGTAAATGTGGCTCTATTACTCCATTCTGGTTAGTGGTAAGAATGCTCACATATTGTCTCTAAAAGACTGTATATTCTCATAGTTAGGGAGCCCTAAGCCATCCAATTTTCTCATTTCTACTAATTTTATACAGTAAAGGAAAGCATATTTTTATGTACAACTCAGACTTCCTTAATCTTAATTAAATATATGATCAAGGAATATAAAAGCAAATTAATTATTGCTGTTTCAGTCTCAGCCTAGATGCACAGAAACTGATGTGTTGGAAAATCATTTTTACATTACATAAAATGTTTAAAGTTTAAAAATATTTATCTCAGGACTAATATTGAAATGTATATACTTATTTGAAAAATTAATTTTGCTTTATTTTTGAAAAGATAAGATGAAGTACATAAAATACTTTTTCCCTTTATTAAAACATGAAAAACTACAGCCTAGTGTGATTATATAATTGCTTTAGGCCACAGTCAATAGGTATAGGGTTCCAGTTCAGTTCTCCTTCTTTGATGCAGTTTGAAATTTTTGTAAACTTTAGTTACTAATATTTCAATGTAAAAAATATGTTTTTACTCTACAATATATAATCTCAATTACTGAACTTCCAGATGAAAAGCATTAATGGTACTCCCTGAAATTAGCTTTTACCAAAAGTTTATATTAAAAAAGTAGGAAATAAAAACATACCACTTCGATGAGTTTACTTTTAAAAAGAAAAGAAAACCAAACAATCAGTTCACAGGCATACTTGCCTTCTTTTGTTTAAATGAAATCCTCATATCCACATGAATTAAATGGATATGCATTTCACAAAATACCAGATACATGCATCTTTTAAAAGTTTCAGTAGCACTGAGGAGAAATTTAGTGAGCAATTTTGTTTAGATACATAAATTTAAAAATTGAGAAAACAATTTAATTTCAAGGTTGATAAGTGCTTTGATCAATAAACCTGAATATTTTCAGTAAAATACTCTGTTACAGTTTGAATAGGTCCCATAGAAGTTTATATGTTGGAAACTTAATTACTATTGCAACAATGTTGGCAGATGGGACCTAATAAGAAGTCATTGGGTTAAGAAGGCAGAGCCCTGATGAATGGATTAATGTCAGTACTATGGGAATGGTTAACTATCACAAGAGCGTGTTGTTATAAAGAGAACCCTGCCCTTAGTGTTGTGCTATCTATCTTTTTTGCTTGCTCACTTCTACCTTTTGCCCTTCCACCATGGGATGACCCTTTGCAGATGCCAGAGCCATGCTCTTGGTCTTCTCCACTCCAGAATCAAATAAACTTCTAATGATTATTATTTATACATTCTGTGATATTCTGTTATACCAACAGAGAATGGACTAAAGACATACTCTTTGACTTACTTTACATATAGCCATAGATTTTAATAATTATGCAGAGCTGGGCTTTTATTCTGGTGTTGACTATTAAGAGGTTGAGCAAAGTGATTCTGCCTTGTCTCTAGTTTGTAAGCAATCTTCCTTTATAATAGAAACTAAAAAAAGAAACCTACCAAATTTATTGTATGTACATATTAAGAAATGAAAGATATAATTCATTTTGAATTATTTATATGGAAATATAAGGGTCTTTCTAATAGACATGTAAATTTAAAGCATGTGTTTGGTATATGTTACTATAGGTTTAAGTCTTGTTTCTGTTGATAACTAGCTTTGTGACTTTAGACAAATTGTTTAAAATCTTTTTCCTCAGGTTCTTTAGTGATCTGTGCTGCCTTCCATGCACTACCCCAGACATTCATATTATCACAAAACACATTTCCATTACCTCCAAAGTATATCCCAAACCTGTCCATGTCCATTTTCACTGCAGCTCTCCTCATCCAAGCCATAATTACCTTTACCTGGCCAATTACAATAGCCATTTAATGCCTATTATTGCTACTGCTTGTTGCTTCTGTTTAAAACAAGATTTTTTTTTCACATCAGCTAGCATAAAACTCAACTCAGTCTGTTTTAAATAATATGAAATTTATTGGCACACAAAACTGGAAGTGCAGAATTAGGCTTTAGGGTTGACTTGATTCTTTAATACTGACTCATTTCTCTCCAAATTTCCTGGCTGTGATATACTCTGTGTGTCAGCTTCAGGCTCATAGTGAGATGATACAGTCATGTGATGACATGCATAGGAATAGGAAGAATCACCTGCAAAAACTCTCACAGAACTCCCAGAAAACTATTTGTTAGAGCTTCTTTGGCTAAAGCCTCATTTCTGAACCAATTTCTGGGTGTAATCTCACACAAATCAGGTCTATGTTGACAGGACTAGAATCAACTTCCTTGGGTTTCATGAAAAGGGGTAAACACTTGAACAATATAGGGTTTTTGTCAGGAAAGATAAGGAAAACAATGCAAAATTATAGAAAAATAATATGTTTTCTATAGCTAGAGAGATTATATGTTCTCCTTTACAAGGAATAGTTGACTGCTGTACTTTTTTTTTTGAATGGATATTAATTTACATAGTCACCTCTATAATCCATATCTACACAGCAGCCAGTATATCATCTTTAATATAAATGCTTCTATTAATTTATTTTCAATCTGTATTCTATTTATTTTTCTTATCTTGTTGAACTGGCTAAGACTTCTAGTATATCAGGGCAATGCTGAGTAGGAGTGGAAAAAGAATATGTTATTTCCGTGTTCCTAATTTAAGGAAAAACATTGACTCATTCACCACTAAATATGAAGATGTTTTTATGTATTCTGTAGATATCACTTATCAAGTTAAGCAATTCTCAGAGCACTGAAAACTACTTTATCTCATAAATGTGACGTATTATGTTTTGGTTTTCATTCAGTTCTACATATTTTGATTGACTTCCCTTGAGACTTCTTCTTTAACGTGAATTATTTAGAAGGGTGTTGGATATCTAATATTGAAATATTTGAGAATTTTACAAATATCTTATTAGTACTACTAGTTTATTGCATTATATCTACAAAAATGCTTTTATGATTTCCATTATTTTAACTTGTTAGATTGTTTCATGGCCCAGAATATGTTCTATCTTGATAAATGTTCTAGATACTTTTGACAAAATTGTGTATTCTCTGTTGTTCGATGGACCATTCTATAAATCTCAATTAGGTTGAATTGGCAAATAATGTTGTTCAGGTATTCTGTGTTCTTACTGGTTTTCTGTTCAATCATTTAATGAGAAAAAAATAGACAATTTTAATTTGAATTGTTGATTTACTGATTTTTTTTGTTATATCAGTTTTTGCTTCATGTATTTTAAAGCTATTTTAAGTGCATTTGTATTTAATATTATTAAAACTTCTTGGAGGAATGACCCTTTTATCATTATGTAAGAATTCTTGGTTCCTGAAAATAGTTATTGTTTTGAAGTCTATATCATCTTTTCTTAATAGCCTAACTTTTTCTATCAGTTTCCTTTTATATTGTCCACGTTTTTGTATGTAAAATGAGTGTCTTATAAATATCATATACTGTAATAGTGTTTTTTTTCTTTTTTCCTCAAATAACAATCTTGGTTGTTTAATTGTTGTGTTTGGACCATTTTCATTTAATGTGTTTCTTATAAAAGGATTAATATTTATCATCTTCCTGTTTATTTTTTCCATCTCTTATTTTATTTTTTATTTTTGCTTTTTTCAATAAATTGTACAATTTTTATTATTCTATGTCATGTCAACCTTTAACTGATTACTTTTACTTTAAAAATTGTGACTTTTAGAGTTTAAAATAAACATTTTTAATTAATTAACATTCACATTCAAACAATATTGTGCCACATGATTTCTATTATAAGGGACTTCAACAATATTTGACCAATTCTTACTATCCTTGGTTATTTATGTTATGAATTTTAATTTTACATATGCTTTAAAAACATGATATTCCTACTGTTCTAGTTATATACCTAAAGTTCTATTTTAGAGCAATTAAAAATAAGAGAACATTAAAGTTTATTTGTTCTGTTTTTAGTGTCCTTCAAATTTTGTGGAGACACATTTTTCTACTTGGTATCAGACTTGCTCTCACTGAAAATTTGCCTTTATCATTTTTTACAGTATAATTCTATTAGTAACAAATTCTGTATTTTTATTGTATTTAAAAGGGTTTATTTATCCTTCATTTTAAAAAGGTACATTCACTGAGTTTAAAATTCTTGGTTGACATATTTTATTTCACTCAATTTGCTTTTATTTTGGATAATTTCTACCAAGAAATATCCTGTAAATATTTTCTTTGTTTCTCAGTATATAATATATGCCTTTTACTATGGTTGCATTCAAGATTATTATTTACTTATTTATTTATTTTGCCTTTTGCTTTTTAACAGTTTGAGCATGACATGCTTAGAATTGTGTTTGTGTGCCTTTCTCATGCTGAATGTTCTCTGAGATTCTTAGGTCTACAGTTTTGTGACTGTCATTAATTTTGAAAAACAAATATGTAGATAACTGATACTGAAGTAAATAATATTTATGCTTTAAAATTGACATTCCTATAAATCCTTTGTTCTGGTAGATGTTTCATTGAGATTTAGGGCTAATTTTCTTAGAAGTTGAGGTGGGTCATTTGGGTTTTGCTGTCACTATGGTTACACTCAGTGCTCCATAGGCTTTAAATTCAACTCATGATATGTTGTGTTTAAAAGAAGGATTCCAAGTCTTTGCTATTTTGAGTAGTGCCGCAGTAAGCATATGTGTGCATGTGTCTTTATAGCAGCATGATTTATATTCCTTTGGGTATATACCCAGTAATGGGACGGCTGGGTCAAATGGTATTTCTAGTTCTAGATCGCTGAGGAATCACCACACTGTCTTCCACAATGGTTGAACTAGTTTACACTCCCACCAACACTGTAAAAGTGTTCCTATTTCTCCACATTCTCTGCAGCACCTGTTGTTTCCTGACTTTTTAATGATCGCCATTCTAACTGGTGTGAGATGATATCTCATTGTGGTTTTGATTTGCATTTCTTTGACGGCCAGTAAATGTCCAACAATGATAGACTGGATTAAGAAAATGTGGCACATATACACCATGGAATACTATGCAGCCGTAAAAAATGATGAGTCCATATCCTTTGTAGGGACATGGATGAAGCTGGAAACCATCATTCTCAGCAAACTATCGCAAAAACCAAACACCGCATGTTCTCACTCATAGGTGGGAATTGAACAATGAGAACACATGGACACAGGAAGGGGAACATCACACACCAGGGCCTGTCGTGGGGTGGGGAGAGGGGGAGGGATAGCATTAGGAGATATACCTAATATAAATGACGAGTTAATGGGTGCAGCACACCAACATGGCACATGTATACACATGTAACAAAACTGCACGTTGTGCACATGTACCCTAGAACTTAAAGCGTAATAAATATATATATATAAAATAAAAAAATAAAAGGAGGATTCATTTTTCAAACGTATTCTTTCAGTTACTATTCATTCATCTTAGGACGTCCCTTTTTGCTGTGTCTCAGAGAGAATTTCTTTCCAGGAATATGTTAGACTGCTACTTATTTTTGACTTTTATTAGCTTGGTTGGTTGTTGCAGAAGAGGAAAGAGCACATTCTCTATTACTGTTATTAAGCTTCATTCTTAGGCAGCCATTCTTTCCCTGGGTCTTGAGAGTGCGGCCTTTCGCTGTCCCTGCTTCTCTTGCAGCTGTAGTTCTGGGTCTGGCATTCATTCCTGCTCTGCTCCCAGAGATAGGGATTTGTTTCTATTTCCTTCAACCTGCATAACAGTAAAATTGTTTGTTGTTATTCCCTTCCAATTTAAGACTTTCATTCTCTATTAGAGATAAGAGACAAGAAACAGCAATGTTTGATGCTTTCCTGCAGCAGCTACTGTCACTCTTTCTCTAGCTTTTGCTATAAGAAATGCTTTCTCAAGTTTCTCATCATTATTTTTAGTGAGATTTTCCAGTAAAGTCCAAAGGGAAGACCCTGCAAGTGGGCACATTTGCATCCTTAATGGATTTTATATTCTTGGAGTCTACATTTGGCCTTTACCAATTTTTAACAATTTTTATTTCCATAACAGCTCTCATGAGTGTTTGGCTGCATGTGTCCAGATAATCATGTAAACATGACCATTTTCTCCTTATAGGTTTGCATTGATTTCACAGATTTCAGATATCATAGATTTCAATTTGCAATGATTTCAAATTGGTTTTTGCTCTGCAAACTTAGGTCTGAAATGGGTTCAAAAAATGGTACATTTTGTACTGTCTAGTGATTTGCTGTTGTCACTATTTCTGTAAGGATGAAAATGCACTTTCTATGTTTCTGTTTATACACCTCAACCAGAAACCAAAGTCCTTCGACTTTGCTTTTAAAAGATATTTGTATTAAATATAGAGTCCTACATTCAGAGTTATTCTTGTTGTTTTTACAGTATTTTTGGATGACATTGTCTTTTGGTTTACAGAGATCCTGACAAAATGTCTACGATAATACTTATATTTGTTTCTCCGGCTAGTAAACCTCTTGTTTTCCTTTTGTTGCTTTTCTTTTTAGCAGCTGCTGTAAATAATTCAATTAAGAAGCATCTTGGTATTTCCTTAGTTTAGTCTACTTGTATACTGAGGTTCTTGAATCTGTGGATTTACAATATTCATCAAATTTTTAAAAAATAGCCATTATATTTTTAAGGATTGTTTGTGTCTGCTCCATAATTCTGGAACTCTGATTATATGTGTGAGTCTCCGATTGGATGTATGTTTGATGCATTGCACACAATAGATGTATTGCAATTTTTTTCAGTTTTATTTTTCTAGATGTCCTTAATTTTTCCATTTGTTTCTGTTGCCATATTTTTGAGTATGCTGATCATTTGTTCTGCAGTACCTCATCTTCTATTAATCCAATCAAGAGGAATTTGCATTTCAAATATTGTGTTTCTTATTTCTTGACATTTGATTTGTGATATTTTAAATCTTTCATTCCTATCCTTATTATGCTCATGCTTTCCTGTATATCTCTTTACATATTGAGTATTTTTGTAACAGTAGAGTTAATATTCTTGCCTGCTAATTCTATTAAAACCATCATGTTTCAGTTTGTTTCTATCAGTTCCATTTCCTATTTATAAATTAAATGTTCCTGCTTCCTTGCATATATAGCAGTATTTTATTGGATTCTAGGCTTATAAATTTTACACTGTTGAATGCTGGATTTTGTTTTACTCTATTAAACAGTTTTAAACTTTGCTTTGTCCGGCAATCAAGTTATTTAAAGATCAGTTTACTCATTCTGAAGTTTTTTGTTAAGTTTTAATAGTGCACATCTAGAGCAGGCTTTAATCTACTTGAATAAAAACAAATCGAATTTGAGTTTATTATCATTACAATACTGCTAATTCTGTTGCTGCTGTTATCACTGCTGGTACTATTAATAGAGAAATGTTCATATTTCTCTCTCAAATGTGTAACCAGTAAAATCTTTAAATTAAATACTTGTTTTTCTCAATACATTCTTTATTTTTACCTCAAATGTACAATTATTTTTTTCTTTTAAACTTGATCCCGACACTTCCTTTAATCTAGAATTAATTTAGCTCCACTCCTAAGCTGTGGTAATTCTGCTACATTCAGCAAGATGTTCAACATGAATTTAACAAGGTGTCTCTGGTTTAGGATAATTGACATGGCTCCCATTTTCATGTGATTTCTGATAAGTGATTTTAATTCTATAAATTTGCAAATTGGGTTTCTTTCTTTCTTTTCTGTTTGTTTGTTTGTTTGTTTGTTTGTTTTGAGACGGAGTGTTGCTCTTGTTGCCCAGGCTGGATTGCAATGGTGGATCTAGGCTCACTGCAACCTCCGCCTCCAGGTTCAAGCCATTCTCCTCCCTCAGCCTGAGATTACAGGCACACCCCGCCACGCCGGGCTAATTTTTGTATTTTTAGTAGAGACTTGGTTTAACCACGTTGGCCAGGCTGGTCTCAAACTCCTGACCTCAGGTGATCCGCCCACCTCAGCCTCCCAAAGTGCTGAGACCGCCCCGCGCCTGGTCTGCAGACGGACTTTGTCTAAAGATGCAATAGGCTCTATCTGCAGCTTTGTGGACATCTTTCTCTTTATTTATGTGTCCTGTGGTATTCTGCCTATAAATAGGTAGCTAGCTTGTTTAATTCAAACAGTTTCTACCTTTTTGATTGAATGATTCCATTGGGCTCTGTTTGGATTCTTCCTCTCTTTCTCGCAGTCCAGAAAATGAGTCTAAGCAGAAAGCCTCGTTAATTTTAGGGCTTACTTCATTTGTTTCCCTGCTCTCCATGATTACGACCAATGTTCTCTATTTTTCACTGCCTAAAAATTGTTGTTTAATATATTTTTCCAGTTTCCTGGTTGTTTCCTCCTTGCACAAAGCAGACAATTTTTTTTTTCAGTCACAAAACCTGTCATTAAACTAATCCAAGCCAATATCTTTTGGCATCATAGTGGGACACCAATCCCAAATTAAAGAGTTTTCAAGTACGGCAAATTTAAAAATCACAGACATCTACTACATTAAATCTATATCAATTTACTTGTACCAGGTAATGTAGGCACTGATTTTATACTTTTAGTATTTCCAGGTGTTTATATTTAACTAGGGGTGAAAGTGATTTGATTTTATTATCGTTACATTACTGCTAATTCTGTCACTGCTGCTGCCACTGCTGTTGCTGTTAATACAGAAATGCTCAGGTTTCTCTCTCAAATGTGTAAGCAGTAAAATCTTTACAATTCCTGTTTGTTTCCCAATAAAATATTATTTATCTTTTTACCTCAAATGTACAATATTTCTTCTGTTAAACTTGATCCAGATACTTCCCATAACTGTGTTTCTTTACTCAATAATGGAGAAGCCACTCTTTGTAGGCATAAAGCAGTCTTTAATATTTTAAAAGTATGGAATCTAGATATTCCCCTCACAAGTGTAAGAAAACTAGTTGTGAAAAATCAGCTTATATTGCATAGGTTCATGACATTTTAAATGTTTAAGAAAAAATATGGATTATAATCTTTTTCTTATTGAATTTGGCAGCCCCCCAAAAAATCATTTTTATTGTCAGCTAGAATCTACCTGATTTAATAAGTTCAAGTGAATCTAATTTTGTGTAATTAATAATTTTTTATTTTAAATATTTTAAAATCTATAATCCATGCTGTTATAGAAAGCAAGTCAGTCAGAAACTGGAAAGCAGTTATGACGTCATGAGTATTCACAGTGGTTATGGAACCTTTAATATTATAAACCTAATAATATTTTAGGCTTGAAAAATGAAGATCAAGTTATATAAGCTCAAAGAATATAAACATTGAAGTGGGTCTAAAGAAAGTTTGCTCTGTTGTCCCTTTTTACTTTGCTTTCCTATACATTTTTGTCATTTCCTATGTATTCAATACCAAATTTAAAAAAAAAAAAATAGCAGAAGACTAACAGGTGAAATATATCAAAAATATATAATTGGCCTCATAAAATAAGAGCCGAAATCTCTCTAATACGTGTGTTTCCTGATTAGATGTAGGCTTCATGAGGACAGAAATCTGTTTCTTTTTATTATTGATATAACTAGTTAGAGAAACTCTTTGTTCTTAACGGGTGCTTGAAAATATTTATTGAGTACTATTTATTGAATGAATTAATGAATATACTTTACTGAACATGAGTTTTCATTCTAAAAGCATTCACAAAACCATTGATCTTCCCTTTTCCATACCACACCAATTTTTATTGTTACCAAGCCCAAACCATGTTTCAATGGGGTGTTAATCTGCCTGATGTCATTAAAGGAGAATAGAAGTCTTTTACTTAACATTCTAAGATATTTTTATTATAAATAACTGTATATAACATAGCAGTATTGTAGTTTGGATAAAACATTATCTGAAAACATATTCCTTGTATATTTTCCAAAGAACTAGAAACATATGTTTATAATATATTCTTAAAATAATATTCTTTGGAAAAAATGAGATAAAATATGTTTTATATAGATACATAGACACATGTAAATCTATACTTCTTTGTATTTGTACCTATTCAGCTACAGCTACCCAATTTCACATATATTATTTCTTCATTCACATCTAATTTTCAGAGTGGGTATAACAGTTAATCTATTCCCACATCTTTGTTTTTCAATAATTGCGTCATTGGGGTGATGGTTGCTTTGTTTTGCTTTTGTGGTTTGCATTTATTCTATTCCAAATTATTTTGTTTCATAATGTGCAGAAGAGATCACATATTATAACTTTTACTTGTTTCATAATTGAAAAATGTAGGTAAGGTTTGGGGCAAATATAGAACGGTTGTCATTTCTACAAGCACCTTTTCATTCTTTGTGATACAGACATTGGCTAGAAGAAAACATTTAGAAATGAGAGTAATAAAATATGGTGAATTAGGCAACCACATGTATGGTTCTAGTACTGGATTTCCATCGACATGGGCAGGTTAATGAGTGGCAGATCCCTTCTCTTGCATAACCTGGTCTCTTCATTTGTACAATCAAGATGACAGTTAAATCCCAGGTGATGTATCTGAGGGGCTTTGCTTTATAATTGTGAGTGCCGATTTTACAATAAGGTGTATTCATGTTTTAAAATTTTAGATTGTAGTGACAGTCACAGGCCTCTTTGCTTTTTGCCAACTACAGAAGTCTGTGTATGTCAAGAAGCACATTAGAAAAATATTATACTGAATTGAATGGTGGAGAATTATAATTCAGTGAAGCAGACTTTTGGTGTACAGAAATATAAACTGTTGGATTTCTCTCCTGTCTCAGGACAGCTAATGGCATGCAATCCAGCCCACTTTTCCCAAGCCATCAAACTATGAGTTTTGGATAAAAATTTCTGTGTGATTCCCCACTGCTTAAAACCCTGCGTGTACATATTGTCACCTGGTTATTGTGATTGGAAGCACAATTTTTCCAACATTACCATTTTTCTTGGCCATAACTGTCTAAGAAAAATGCCAGAGATCTTGCTGCACTAGACTGTGAATGATATCTTGTACTGCATGAAACCACACACTAAGAATTTCTGACTTAGCAATGTAAAATTAGTTTTTTATTCCCAGAAGGGAGTAATGATTACTTCTATAGTCCTGGAAACACCTAATTTTTTCACAATAGTATTTTTCTAACAATGTTAATATATTTCTCAATTTTATGTGCTTTAGAAATACATTTTCCAAAGGGTGAATGAGGAAGTAGTATTGGTCAAGTAAAGCAAAATATATATAATTTTAAATACTTTCATTTAGAAACTCCAATGATTTACAAATTTTGATGGGGTATCTGAAAGTATATTTTAATATTAAAAAAAAAGTGATCAGTCAGCCATAAGATAATGCTATGAGCATCAGAACCTGGTCCTAGACAAGTGAAGATGGTTTCTTCTGTGCATGGACACTGTGAATTCCCTAGGCTATTTATCAACAGAGCCTAACTAGGATGAAGCCCTCCAGCCACCATATGCTCCAATATGTTGATCACAGAGGTTGTGCTAATAATTACCTTCCAGAAAAGAAAAAGGTGACTGTTGTTCTGACCATTTACTTAAGTGCCCTAAGCTATAAGTGAGGTCCTAATAACAGTACTAACCACCAGTGCTATACTCTGAGGGGAAAAAGCCACATTGACATCATCTCTCAATTTTTTAACATTTAGATTATATCTATGTTCCTAAATACCTTCCCAGCCCCCAAATGTATCTCTCTCTCTCATGCACTGATGATTTGTATTGTTAGTTTGGAAATTAATAATGACATTATATTTTATTTTTGAAGTCTTATTTTTTTGCTATGTATAATGTAACTACATCTAGCTAGATTAAAAACCATTTCATTTATTAATTAATGGATTAATATCCATGGGGTTCCAACTGAGGATTGAAAACTTTATCAAAGAGGTTGCAGTATTACATCAGTCAGCCACATAATTGAATTACTATAATATAATATGTAATATAAGGAATACTAATGCTAATATGGAAAACAAGAAAAATTTCAACTCAGGTATATTTTCTTACATATCTTAGTATCTTTAATATAGGGAGTTTCTTAAGTTTGAAATGTCAGCATTTCCTCTGCATTCTTTACCCTAGAAATTGTATCCACTGCTGCTTTCTAACGATCACCTCAAAAACAAACAAAAAACAATCAAACAAAAAAACAAAATCTGTTGTTGTGAGAATTATTAGCCCCAATCTTGCTATAGAGAGAACATTTTTGGGTGTTTCATAGTTACATTGAAATACTCACTGTGAAAATTAAATATAGAGGAAGAAGAAATAGGAAATTACGTAGCTGTAGCTGTAGCTGAGTAGGTAGAGATATAGAGAGGTATAGGTTTCTGTGTCTATCTAGCTACATAAAACATATTTTATCTAATTTTTCCCAAAGAATTTTATTTTAGTAGCTGTAAGAGATATTTGCTTTGTATGTAACCGATTGCTATCCAGAACTATGTAAAGAAAAACAGGCAAAAACCTTCAACAAGTACTTTTTAAGTTTACTCAAATGGCTGATAAACATATTAAATTTGTTCAACATTGGGGAAAGCATCATGGGAATGCAAAATAAAACTGTACTATTGTATTATTTTAGAGTTCAAGTGGCTAAAATTAAAAAGAATGACAATTCTCAGAGTTGACTAGGATATGGCCAACTTGAACTCTCATATACTGCTGGTAAGAGTGTAAATTGGAACCATTCCCCTGGACAATCATTTGGCAGTATGTAACAAAGTTTATCATTCTACATATAAAAAAGAAAACATATACATATGTGCACCACAAATGTACAAGAACAATCATGTCAGCATAATTCACAATAAGTCAACTTTGGGAAAAACAACACTAATCTCAAACAACATGGAATGGATAATACTGTTATGATCATACAATAAAATAGTGATATTTTTCAATGAAAATGCATGAGTTCCTGCTCTATATAACAAAATGATGAATCTTCCAAAGAAAATGTTGAGAGAAAGAGGTTAAAGCAGACTAATATAATCTTTACGTTTCTATTAATTTAAATTCTGAAACAGGCAATAAGAATCTATAGTATTCAAAGCCAGAAGATAGTTACTCTTGCATGGGAGAGAAAGGATAGTAAATGGCACTTGCACAAGGGTCTTCTATGATGTTGGTAATGTTTATTATTAACCTAAATGGAGGTTGTTTAGGTGTGGTTAGTTTATGACAGTTCATCAAGCTCTACACTATAATTTCTATATATTTTTTCTGCATTATTTGTCAATAAAAAGTTAATTTAAAATTGAAGTTAATTTAATACACGTGGATTGTAGCTGCTTAAATGCTTAGGATATAGTTAGTCTTCGTTATTAAACCAAATGTGTTAAAAAAATTTACGTAATTGCTGGTACTCATATGTCCTTTTATGTGGATGATATCTTTCCTACTTTCTATCCTTCTTTCACTCACAGTATGCATTGGAATTATTCCAATGGAAAAGAGTAGTTATCTCATTTTACATTGTTTAAATGTTTGACTCTTCATGTTTTCAAAAACAGGGCAGAATTTTCACATTGTCAAGCTCTGAGAGCACTTAATGCCTATATACTCTCAAGGAAGAAATCGTTTGTTCGTGTATGTCCAAAAGCATATATTTATGAAATAAATTGAAAACTAAAAGCCTTTGCCCCATTATTTGATAAAATCTACCTCTGACATTCCAGAAATATTTCAGTAATCATGATTATTTGTCCGAAATGTTTATGATTATAAAATATACATTTCATCTTTTTAATGGTAAGTATAAAGAATATGTTAACTATATAAACAGTATCTCATTATATAACACAGTATATATAAATCATAAAAATGTTTTAAAATAATGCAATATTACTCTACAGCCAATAGGTATAATTTAAAGCCAATATAAATATGAGTGTGTTAAAATAATTTCACTAAGTGCATCTTCATTTGCTTATGAATTTGATAAAACACAACTGCATTTTAAAAACATATCACAAATAAGAACTATAGAAGTATTTAAAACAGTAAATGAATGTATATAATTAATTTCCTAAGCAATAGCTTTAAAATCCTATGACTAAAATATTCCAATATAGGCAGCATAGCTCTTTATTAATGGATTTATTTAATATTTTTTTCAATTTGACCTATTATTTGAAGGGCTTAGAATGATCAGTATCAGACATTGGCCTATCAGAAACAACCTTAGATCATAAAAATTCTATCTGCTTCACAGAGAGTGCTTTGTTAATCTAAATGTCAAATACAAAATTATGACAATCTGTGCCATTGTACTGGCACATGTTTTTCTTTTATTATTCTGACTTTTAATTATGAATGAAATATTTTTCCACTGGTATGTGAATCATTTTTGAACCAACTGAGTACTGGTATTCATAAAAAGTTGGATGTTTATTTTTCCCTCATGTATATGTATTGTTACATACAAAAATAAGAAAAATACCATCTTTTATCCCTTAGATTTTATGCTCTATTTTTGAAAGTTAACAGAGCTTAACACTTAGATTTTCCTATGTAATCATGTAGAAAAATTACAGTTCTTTCACTTTTACTTTATTTCCCTGGATTCTACCATTCTTTTTAACAATTCAATACCTATTTCAAAAAATTGGACCATTTTTCACTCTCACTGGAGGAGCAATATCTTTGTTCTCTTTCAAGATCCATTTCTTTAAGAAGCACATTCCAGCAACTATTTCCAAGACATAAACATTAATATTACAGTACACTATTTGTTCATAGCCTGTGGGGAGGATTTCCATTCTTCAACACAGTATAATATTCAAATTAGAAATAAAAATTTTAAAGCTTACAGGGAATAAAGCAACTTGGTTGGGTTGTGACCACCATCTTGAATTACACATTTTCTGACAGAGTGCTCATTTCTTTTCAAGCTTCATTTTCTTTGAAATATAATCTGAATATTTCAAATGTAGATTGAAGCTTATACTTCTCAGAAATCTAATTTATCTGTTCCAAGCTCATAGTTTCTATTTACTTCAAATACCAAAATACACAAAAAACCTTCTCTGTTTGGTTAGTATAGTGAGGACTTTAAAACAAGATGCTATATGAAATACAATCATGCATTGCTTACCAATTGGAATAAGTTCTGAGAAATATGCCATTATGCAATTTTGTCATTGTGCAAACATCATAGGGTCTATGTACACAAACCTAGATAGTATAGCCTAGTACACATCTAAGGTATATCGTTTAGCATGTTGCTTCTAGGCTACAATCCTGTACAATATGTCACTGCATTGAATACTGTAGGCAACTGTACACAATGATAAATATTGCTGTATCTAAACATATCTAAACCTAAAAAAGTTATAGTACAGTATAAATGATAAAAAATGCTATACCCATGTAGAGTACTTACCATGAACAAAATTTGCAGGACTGGAAATTGCTCTGGTTGAGTCAGGGAGTGAGTGGTGAATGAAACTGAAGTCCTAGAACATTACCATATGTTGCTGAAGACTACACTGTACATTTAGGCTACACTAAATGTAAAAAAAATGTTTTCTTCAATAATAAATCAACTCTTCAGTAATAAATTAAATTTAGCTTATAGTAACATTTTTCCTTTATAAACTTTGCAATTTTTTAAATTTTTGATTCTTTTGTAATAACAAATTAAAACTCAAACACATGGTACAGCATTATAAAAATTTTATTTTCTTTATATCCTTATTCTATAACCGTTTTTCTATGTTCAAAAATTTTATTTTATTTTTTACTTTTAAAAAAAATTGGCAGTGCAGTAGGTTTGTCTAAACAAGCATTACCACAAATGTGTGAGGAATATATTATGTCTTGACAATGGCTTCAATTACCTCTAGACAATAGGAATTTTTCAGCTCCATTTTAATCTTATGGGACCACCACTGTATTTATGGTCTGTTGTGAACTAAAACATAACTGTAGATGACTGAAGTAAAGTATCAATATACTTCTACAGATATGTATACTAAGCCAATATAGAACCATAATTGACAAGTGCTCTATTGAAATTAGTTATTTTTATATCTTGATGAAGCAAATAATAATAATGTTATTAAAGTGAGAACTTGGAGATGCAAAAAAGGTTTTGCATCATCTAACAGGACAGTTGCACCATTGCTAGGGTTTCTATTTCTTAATTTTATATTGTGAAAGATGATCTCTGAGTTTGCAAATTACAGGATGATGTCACTTTTGTCAGGCCCAGACAAAATAGGGCTTACATGTCTGAGACATGTTTACATGTCTGAGATAAGAACTGTTTTCAAGGACTTTCAAAAAACACCACAGGAAACTCGTTCCTGCCCTTCGCACATCTCTGCTTTTATAAAGTTTATCACTAGACATTCTTTAAAACTGGAGTAATTCAGATAAGATGTTCTCAAAAGAACACTTGCTTAGTAATGGCATCTCCACCAACTAACTGACAACTCAGACTCTGAACCTCCGGAACTAATGAACTCTGTTTCTGAGCTGCTTATGTAAATCTCTTTTGGCTAATAAAAGTTCCCCTTACACTTCCCAGACCAAATGGGCTGGTGGCCTGCCATTCTATACATTCTGGATTAGAATCCTTATTTTTATTCTTGAATAAATCCATTGTATTTAGAGAAAATTTTCTCTACTACCTGATGATATGAAATCCAATCATATATTAACAAAGACTGCTATTAGAAAACTTTTCATGAACATTTCACTTAGGAAATCTATTTTGTTTTCTAAGATACTGAAGATACTGTAATCTTGGCAGGGTATATTTCATAATTATTGGAAATTTTTTTTGTCATCTGTGAAATTGTACCTTAAAGACTATAGAAAAAGAAAAGTTGTACATTAACTGTAAAGTAAGTGGACTCTACTTATGGATAAAAAAGAACAGCAACATCTGATAACTGTGTGATACAGGTAGAGTGTAGATAGATCTTTGTGATTAGAAGAGTAGACATTTTTAAAAGATGATCTCTGAGTTTTCAAATTACAATATACTGAAAACAAATTTCAAGAGGCTGTATATGTGATATTTAAACCATATGTGTGGTACTTTCTAAATGTTTGATTACAAATGTAATTTAGGTAGAATTTAAAAAAACAATTTATTAGCTATAAGGCAATTATAAAGCCTATTTAAATGACATATTTTGCATTCTCAAAAAAATTCACAAGTTCTTCTTCGTGCTTATAGTATTGCCTATTTTTTCTTTTTAAAAATTGCTTATTTCAACATGATGTTGAATGATAAAGGGTAACTATCAGAAACATCTGACTCTTAGGAAAATTACTTTTATAGTTGGCATGATAAAATCAAATCACGTTTTACTAAGACTGAGAAATAAAGTCTTCCTATTTATTATTAAATGGAATGTGTATAGTAAGAAGATTTAATAAAATAAACATTTTAAAGGTGATTTCTTTGTATTTGGAACATCATATATTTCGAACATTTAACTTAGACTTAAGGTGTTTTGCAATAAAACTGTTAGAATTTGTGAACCATGCAGTATAGGAACTTTGAAGGAATATTCTTCCAGTTTGAAGCCAACTTAATATAAATTGATGTTTTATAACCACTAAGTCATGCAACATTTTGCTTTATTGTTTTGTCAAAAAATTATCTCCAGCCCAATTTACTCAAAGTAGTCATCACTGATGTAAAACTGTAATTGCTACCAATACTTTGATCATTGGTTTAGGTCTGCTAAGTAAGACGTTTCCAGCATTATTCAACATCTAAAGTATTTTAATATGTCATGGCACTTGTCATTGTTTCTTCCTCATAACGAATAATCAATAAAAGGTTGTTTTACTGAATATAAATAATATCTGTATACACAAAATTGCAGTCTTAGAAATAATCTGGTTCTCTGATTTTATGGAGAGTATATGACTTGCTTAAATTCATACCACCAAAAACTATTAAAGCCAGAACCAACAGGAATAACTTAATATAGTGACTATTCTACTATACCATATTCTCTCTAATTTATATTGTGATGCATTACATTAGAGTTCTTCTAATTTTAGGGTAAACACATGTCCCATGTGATTTGAGTAGTCCTTGTTTACACATATTGCCATTGCACAATTAATAGCACCACTTTAACTTTCAAAATTACCATATTTGGACAATAAATTATATGATTGTCCTAGTTAATATCATAATATTGAATTTATGCTAATACTTATATATTCAGGTATGCTTTTAGGCTGAAATTGAACATAAATATATTAAAATGTTAAATAAGAGGCACATGATATTATAAAAAGAGCATGGACTTTAGAATAACACAGAACTCAGGTCAAATTTTAGCTTGCCACATAGTACCCATCATGCCAGGAGTGTCATGATCTCTGTGGTACTCAGTTTTTGTTTCAGTAGCATGGGGCTTGTAATCCCTGCATTGCTATGTTACTGTGAAGATTAAATCAGCAACATACCAACTATAGTAGCAAACAATAAATGTCATTTCAATTATTTCAGTAACTTTTTATAAAAAGATAATATTTAGCATAATATTTTAGACTATTTATAGCACTAAATAACTTTTCAACAGCTTAACTGAAAACAGGACCTACTGCTTTGTTAGAATCCATTTTGAGCTGAAATTAACAATTGCTCCACTTATCACAGCAAGGAATCCATCTTGCTAAATATAACAAAGGGACATGCTGTATTCCAAAAATGTATATTGGTTTACTTAAAACAAATGAATTTTAAAAGTCTGCAAAGAAGCAGCTTGAAAATTTTATTTTCCCATTCTCTAATTTCCTCATAGATCATTGTTTTTCCTTATTTTTAACTAAAGCCTTAGAGATTCTTAGGAATAAGCTGTCATTCTTGATACAACATCCTATTATGTCCCCAACAATTACTTTTCAAAGAAAAGCAAAATAAAGTTTTACACATAAATTTCTTCACAGTGTTCTTGAAAGATTGAGGTATTGAATGTTTTTATTTAGAAGATATCATATAAATATATACAATATGTATAGTACATAAAAACAAGAATTAAATTCTAATATAATTGAAATGAAGGTCTACTCTCAAAATAGTTTTATAACTAACAAATATTTTGAAGTTAATATAAATGAAAATATACATTTAAATATTTAGACATAAATTCAGTGCATATCATTTTTATTATTTTGATAAATATTTGTTGAGTTATTTTTAAGGTACTGGCATTTACTGAGGGCATGTCTCCAGGGACAGTGTCTCTATGGTCGTCCTATATTTGACATACATTTTATTCCTTCATTTTCTTAAACTGTGATTCTATATATTTCACAACCAACCCCACCCTCCCCCCACACAGATATGTGAGAGTGTATAAGGTAGATGGGAGGTTGTTGACTGTATAAGTATAGGCTTCAGTGGAGATTTTAAAGTTAAAGGTATAAATTTTGATATTATACACATTTAAATGGCATTAAATCCTCAGATTAAAAACTTGAATCTTTAATACCATAATATTTTAATATTTTACCTCAAATTAAAAACTTGAGGCACTAATACCATTTAATGTGTATGATTTCAAAACTTACACCTTTAACTTTAAACTTTTTTTTTAAGATTTCACTTAAACATTGAGTATGAATATAAAAGGAGGGAAAAAAAAACACAGTACCTAACAGGACAATCCAACATTTAGATGTCTAGTCTAAGAAGGTCAAATAAACATGAATACAAAGAAATGGGCTGGATTTTCAATTTCTGTTCTACTTTATAAGGAACTTGGAATCTTCATTCGGATCACTAAAATGAGAAAAATTTGGAAAAACTGAATAACAATAACTTTTCTTGGTCCAATCTGAAACTGAGGTTGCAAGACAAATCACCACCCCCAAATCTGGGAAGACATGGCTCATTTACATGGAGTAGAAGCCTTTTGTTAAATCAATAGGAACTTAAATGGAAGAAACCCAGCAGTGGGAATATTGACAAATAGCTTGAGACTGAGGATGGTATAGCATAAGAGCAAAAATGATTCTTGGCTACACGGACTTAGGGGAACTCTCTGTTTTGTATGCTTTACATCCAAGAACCCCAATAATTTTTCAAGACTAAAATCTGAGAAATATCCTCTCTATCTCTAGCAAGGGGAGAGGGAGAGTAATCATTGTGAAATACACCCAGAAGTTTCTTCATATCAAAGTTTTCACTTCAGCAAGAAAAGGCATTTGTAGAACCTAATCCCAGTTGGGCAAAGGATATTCCTCCCAACTTAAACCCCTCTAGACTTTCTGTCTTACCAAAGGAGTCCAAAACTAAGACAAAAGAAAGTAGGATTCCAAAAGAATCATTTGGGAATACTGAAGCAAGAGAAGGTAATAAGGAGCAGAGGAGACAAAACATCTTAAGTCATAGCCTTAAGAAACAGGGTCTTCAAGTGGGGGAAAGGGACAGAAAAAGAGGAAAACAAGACTATCTAAGAGATCAGACTCATATATGCCATAGAAATTGAAATCATTAGAGAGTTCTATGGATTGACTGTGATTTGTCCCCACTAAAACTTTGTTGATATCTTATCCCCAGTGTGGTAGTGCTGAGAGGTGGGGCCTAGTGGGAGATGCTTGAGTCATGGGGGTGGATTCCTCATGAATAAACTAATTTTCTATTGTGGGCATGAGAGAATTCTT
Organism: Homo sapiens; assembly: GCF_000001405.40. Taxonomy (NCBI): domain Eukaryota; kingdom Metazoa; phylum Chordata; class Mammalia; order Primates; family Hominidae; genus Homo; species Homo sapiens. The sequence continues at coordinate 94,506,150 of NC_000006.12, forward strand.
CTCTTGCAGGACTGGATTAGTTACCTGAGAGCAAGCTGGGCTTCCTAGACTTTCTTTATTGCATCCTTTCTTGCCTCATTATCTCTTTGTACACACCTGTTCTCCTTCTATTTTCCAGCATAAACTGAAGAATTCTGAGGCCCTCACCAAATGCAGCTGCCCAATCTTGGACATTCCAGGTGTCAGAATCATAAGCCAAATAAATATTTTTTTCTTTATAAATTACCAATCTTCAGATGTTCTATTAGAGCAACCTAAACGAACTAACACAGGAAGGGGATATATTAAAGGATCTTAATATATTAAAAGTGCTAATAGACAATGTATACAGGATGCAAGAACAGTTGGGTAATGTAAGCAAAGAAATGACAACTCAAAGAATCAAAAATAAATTATAGAAATGAAAAACACTATAACAAAAATGAATATGCCTTAGATTGATCTCTTAGTAGAATAAACACAGCTATAGAAAGAATCAGTGGCTCTGAAGATAGGTCCATGCCAACTTCCCAAACTAAAATGCAAAGACAGGCCAGGAGCAGTGGCTCACACCTGTAATCTCAGCATATTGGGAGGCCGAGGCAGTCAGATAACTTGAGGTCAGGAGTTTGAGACCAGCCTGGCCAACATGACGAAACCCCATCTCTACTAAAAATACAAAATTTAGCTGGGTGTGGTGGTGTGCCCTTGTAATTCCAGCTAGTTGGATGACTGAGGGAAGGGAATCACTTGAACTCAGGAGACAGAGTTTGGAGTGACTCAAGATCACGCTACTGCACTCCAGCCTGGGAGACAGAAACTCTGTCTCAAAAAATAAAATAAAAATATAATGCAAAGAGAAAAACAAATTAAAAATAAGAAAAAAAGAGAACAGAAAGAAATGTGGAATAATTTAAAATGATATAAAATGTGCCCCATGGAAAATCCTAGAAGGAGAAGGAAAAGAGAATGAAGCAGAAAAATTGTTTGAAGTAATAATAGATAAAACTTTCCAAAAGTAATGACAGAAACTAAATCACAGAGGAGTTCAGAGAACATCAAGTAGAATAAATTTTAAAATAACAAATAAATTAGAACATCTAGATTGGAAAACAAGAATTAACATTATAAAACTTTATTATAAGAAATTAAGGAACATCTAAATAAATGTGAAGACACTTGATGTTCTTGGGTTGGAAGACCTGAAATTATTAAAATGGTATTAATCCCCAAATTGTTTTACAAGTTCAATACAATTTCTAGCAAAATCCCTACTGACATTTTTGTAGACATTGACAAGCTGATCCTGAGATTTATCTGGATATTCAAGGAATCTTGAACAGCCAAAACAATCTTGAAAAAAGAATAACATAGTTGGTGGACTCATATTTCTCAATTTTGAAAGCTACTTCATATCAACAAGAATTGTCTTTAATATTTTCATAAAAAACACATACCGATCAGAGGGACAGAATTAAGAATCCACAAATAAACCTATATATTTATGGTCAATGGATTTTACACAAGTGTGAGAAAACAATTCAAAGACATGATAGTTTTTTCAACAAATAGTAATTAGACAGCTAAATATTAACATGCAAAAGAATGAAATTGAGCCTCCTACTTCACATCATATACATAAGTTAACTTAAAATGACATAAATGTAAATGTTAAAACTATAAAATTCTTAACAAAAACATAGGTGAAAATATTGTGAATTCAGATTAGGCAATAGTTTCTTAGCTATCATACCAAAAGATTAAGTTAACTAAAAAATAAATAAATAAATTGGACTTGATCAAATATGAAGCTTCTGTGTTTTAAGGGACACTGCTGAGAAAATGAAAAGTCTATATACAGAATGAAAGAAAATATTCACAAGGTATAAAAATAATAATATCCAAGATCCTGAATATATAAAGAAACTTTAAAACTTAGCAATAAAAAAGACATATAACCCAACTTAAAAATGGACAAAACATTTAAATAGGCATTTTTCCAAGAAGAGATACAAATGGTCAAAAAGTACCTGAAAAGAAACCAACTTAATTGGTTAATAGAAAAACGTAAATTAAAAGCTATAATGAGATACTATTTTATACCTACTAGAATAGTTATAAACAAAAAAGAGACAGTAACAAATGTTGGTAAGAATGTAAGAAAATTCAAACCCTCACTGACTAGTGTTAAGATTGTAAAATGATGCCATTATTTTAAAAAACACATAGGCAGTTCCCTACTAAGTGAAACATTGGGTTTCTATATTATCCAGTAATTCTACTCTTAGATATAGAACTAAGAATTGAAAAATCTATAGCCACAGAAAAACTTGTACACAATTGTTTATAGGAGCATTATTTATAATTGCAAAAAATAACCCAAATGTTCATCAACTGACAAATGGATATGTGATCCAGCCATACAAGGAAATATTATTTTGCCAACAAAGTAAACGCATTACTGATACATACTACAATATGGATAAACCTTGAAAACATTATGATAAATTTTTAAAAAAGGATACAAAAGATTACATATTGTACGATTATTATTTATAATTATTACTATTTTTGAAACAGGGTCTCACTCTGTCACCCAGGCTGGAGTATACTGGTGTGATCTCGGCTCACTGCAACCCTGCCTCCCTGGCTCAAGCGATCCTCCATCTCAGCCTGCCAAGTAGCTGGGACTACAGGCGCATGCCATCACAGCCGGCTAATATTTGTATTTTTTGAAGAGATAAGGTTTCACCATGTTGCCCAGGCTGATCTTGAACTCCTGAGCTCAAGCCATCCACTCACCCTCACCTTTCTTTTTCTTTTTTTTGAGATGGAGTCTCGCTCTGTCGCCCAGGCTGGAGTGCACTGGCACGATCTCTGCTTACTGCAACCTCCACATCTAGGGTTCAAGCGATTCTCCTGCCTTAGCCTCCCAATTATCTGGGAATACAGGCATCTGCCACCATGCCCAGCTAACTGTGTATTTTTAGTAGAGATGGGGTTTTGCCACGTTGGCCATGCTGGTCTCAAACTCCTGACCTCAGGTGATCCACCTACCTTGGCCTCCCGAAATTCTGGGATTATAAGCGTCAGCCACTGCGCCCGGCCCCGCCTTCACCTTTCAAAGTTCTGGGATTAAAGGCCTGCACTACTGCACTCAGCCAGATTATTTTGATATGATATGTCTAGAATAGGCATTCATATGAGTAGAAAATAGATTTGTTGTCAGGGGCTTGAGGAGGCAAGAAATAGGAGGTTGCTCTCAATGAGTACAGAGTGTCATTTTGTGATGATGCCAATATTCTGGAATTAGATAGTGGTGATTGTTGACATTTCTGTAAATATACTAAGACCCCCAAAGTTTTACACCTTAAAAGAAAGACTTAAGGTATGTTAATTATATCTCAAGTAAAACCAACAAAATTATGAGAAGAAACATTATGCATATGCATGGATAAAAATAAACAGAAGAACAGGAGATCATTTTAAAAATTATTTTAAAAACATAATGAGATACTTCTACACATCTGTTAGAACAGCTAAAATAAAAACGACTGATCCTATTATGTGTTGGAGAGTATGTGAAAGAACTGAACTCTCTTATGCATCTGGTGAGAATGTAAAATGGTACATTCCATTGCTTTTATGGAGCATTTTGCAAACTGCAAACAGTTTGGCAGACTCTTAAAAAGTTAAACTTACACCTACCACATGATCCAGCTATTCCATTTTTAGTTATTTATCTAAGAGAGGTACAGACATAGTTGCTTTACCTGTAATAGCCAAAGAGTGGAAACAACCCAAATGATCCACGAATGGATCCACGAACAGGTGAATGGATCCATGAACTGTAGTTATAGAAATACAATGGAATGCTATTTTGGCAATAAAATAAATATTAAACATGCAACATTATGACTGAATCTCAAAATAAATATTCTGGGTGGGGGGAAAAAAAGCCAGAAACAAAAGGACTGCATACTGTGTAACTCTATTTCTATACAACTCTAGAACATGCAACACAACATCTTTACTAATAGAAATCAGCAGTTGCCTGGGAGAGGAGGTGGTAGGTAGAGTAAGAGGTAGGAGATGTATTTGTTATCTTCATGGTGGTGATGTTTTCATATGTATGTGTCTTTGTGTCAAACTTTTCATATTTATAATTTAAATATGAGCAGTTTGCAGTTATTTACATTTCACTAAAGCTGTTAATATTTTCTGTTTCAGAGAGCTACTTTTAAAGCATTCATCCATTTTCTCTGATTGAGAATATAACAGTAATAAATACATATTCTATGCTATAGAGTTCCTGCTGAATAGTCAATGACTACATTTGTCCTGTTAATATTATATCCCAGAACTTAGCATATTGCCTCACATTAGGACATTTGTGTTAAAAATATGTTTTGTTACAATTTTATCCAAAAACCAACAGGTCATCTGAAGGAAGTTCACTCAGCAAAGTATGTTCCTAACTGAAAAAAAAAAAAAAAAAAAGATTTCATGTGACCAAGAATTAAATGCTTTCTTGAAAATACATAATCTGAATAATATTTAACCTTTAGGAAAGTGGTAAGTTAGGATATTAACACTATTTCTTAAATAATTCCATCATTATTTCATTATTCTCACAACCATTTATTGAATAACTACTGTATGCCAAGTTCTATACTAGTCGCTCAAATTTAATAAATATTTATTCAGGTCCCCGCCCTGCAAAGTTTCTCTGACATACCTACAGTGCGGGCCCTGATGATCGCTGCCCCTCGAAAGGAGGAGAGAGGGACTGAACTCACCTCCTGGGCAGTCCGCCTGCCCCGTCTCCACCAGGCTCCGCACCAGTGGCAGTCGAGGTACTAGGGCCAGAATCCCCGCCACCTGTCGGCCTGTCATCTCACCTACTCCCTGCTCCCTCCACCGTGGGTCCGAGGTCCCAGCCAGCTACACCCCCACTCCCAGGTGGAGGCTCCGAGCTCCTCGCTGGCCTGCGGAGAAGGCGGGGAGCCAGCTGTCCCCTGAGCCAGGAAGGGGATGGGTGTGAGCGGGTGACTGGGCAGCCCCTTACGTCAGAGGAGCTTGTGGAGAATGAGGCGTGGGGCTGGGATCTTGCACCTAGATGTCATCCCGGGGTGGGGACAAGATGGCCGAATAGAAGCAGCAGCAATCCGGGGCTCCCATCAAAAAGAACCATAATTAGTGTGTGGATCCTGCACTGGCAACCAAGGTATCCAGGTTCTCTCATCAGAACTGACTAGGTGGCTGGCGTGATCCACGGAAAGAAAGGAAGAGCAATGTGGTGCAGCGGCACACCGGTCAGGGGAGCCCTCACCACCGACCCCCCGCCCCTCCCCGCGCCCCACCCCCGGCCCCCGCTTCCCCGCCCCCACCCAAACCCCGCCAAGGGAGGCGGTGAGTGAGAGTGCTACCCAGCCAGGGAAACCATGTTTTTGTTTTTTCCGTGGAACTGTTCAACCCACGCCACCAGGGCCTAGGGTCTCAACCCTGGAGCCATGCAGATTTTCAACAGCCTCTTAGCTAGAATCTGCTTAAGCCTGTCAAGCTCCGGGGAGGGAGGGCGACCAGGGCCGCAGCTGCGCTGCCTGCTCTCTAAGCTGTTTGAGTTCCTTCCTTGTGGGAAGGGGCAGCAGCCAACACTGGGACTCATAACTGCCTGGGCTGGGGAAGGGCGGCATCCATCTCTATAGCTCCAGGCCGCACCCTGCTCCCCTGCTGGAGCCAGGGAGATTGGACAACGTGGTTCCAATAGTTGTCCTACACAGCCCAACACACCGGGTATGGCAGACTGTGGCCCGAGCACATCTTCAGGCCTGACCGTGACCCATCCTTCCTCACTGGGCGGGGGCTCCCTGCAGGAACTACAACAACTCCCCAGCCATAGGCTCAGGGACAGAACCCTGAACTCCCTGGGCCTGAGCCCCTGGAGGGAAGGGGGTTCCGCAGTCTCTGTGAACCAGCAGACTTAAGCGTGTTCTCCTGGTAGTTCTAAGGAATCCAGGCAGCCTAGACAAGTGGATTTCCTCCCACTGAAGCATACCCCCTCCACCAAGAGACAGCCAAGGTGCTTCGTTAAATGTGTCCTGTTTCCCGTGCCACCCAACTGGGTGAGGCCCTCCAACAGGGGTTGCAGACACCCTATACAGGAGTGACCCTAATCGCATCAGGCTGGTGTTCCTGAAGGTCAGAGATTCCAGAAGAAGGAGCAGGCACCCATCTTTGCTGTTCTCCCGCCTCCTTGAGTGACATCTGCAGGCACAGGAGTGAACCAGAAGAACTGATGTGAAGCCCCAGAAAACTGCAGCAGCCCTACAGAAGAGAGACCTGACCATTGAAAGAAAAACAAACAAACAGAAAGCAACAGCAACAGCATCAACAACAAAAACCCCATCAAAGGGCCAGCAGCCTGAAAGATCGAAACTAGACAAACTCAGGAAGATGAAAAAGAATCAACCAAAAAATGCCGAACATCCAAAAGGCCAGAGTGCCCCTTCTCCTCCAGATGATTGCAATGCCTCTCCAGCAAGGGTGCAGAACTGGACAGAATATGAGATGAACAAATTAAAAGAAGTAGGCTTCAGAAGATGGGTAATAAAAAACTCTGCTGAGCTAAAGGAGCATGTTAAAATCCAACACAAAGAAGCTAAGAACTCCAATAAAAGGTTATAGTAACTGCTAACTAGAATAACCAGTTTAGAAAGAAACATAAATTACCTGATGGAGCTGAAAAACAGCACAGGAACCTCGTGAAGCACACACAGTATCAATAGCCGAACTGACCAAGCAGAAGAAAGGATATCAGAGTTTGAAGACCATCTTGCTGAAATAAGGCATGCAGAAAAGATTAGAGAAAAAAGAATGAAAAAGAACAAACAAAGCCTCCAAGAAATATGTGACTACATAAAAAGACCAAACCTGTGATCGATTGGAGTATCCGAGGGAGATGGGAAGAATGGAAACAAGCTGGAAAACACACTTTAGGATATTATCCAGGAGGACTTTCCCAATCTATCAAGACAGGCCAGCGTGCAAATTCAGGAAATACAGAGAACACCGCTAAGACAGTCCATGAGAAGATCAACCCCAAGACACATGAACATCAGATTCTCCAAGGTCGAAATGAAGGAAAAAATGTTAAGGGCAGCCAGAGAGAAAGGCCAGGTCATGTACAAAGGGAAGCCCATAATACTAAGGGCAGAACTCTCAGAAGGAACCCTACAAGTCAGAAGAGTTTGGGGGTCAATATTCAACATTCTTAAAGAAAAGAATTTTAAACCCAGATTTTCATATTCAGCCAAACTAAGCTTCATAAGTGAAGCAGAAATAAAATCAGAGGAAAAAAATAAATGCTGAGGAATTTCATCACCACCAGGCCTGCCTTGCAAGAGCTTCTGAAGGAAGCAAGCACTAAATATGGAAAGGAAAAGCCAGTAACAGCCACTGCAACGACACACCAAAATATAAAGACCAATGACACTATGAAGAAACTGCATCAACTAGTGTGAAAAATAACCAGATAACATCATGATGAAAGGATCAGATTCACATGTAACAATACTAACCTTAAATGTAAATAGGCTAAATGCCCCAATTAAAAGACACAGACTGGCAAATTGAATAGAGTCAAGATCCATTGGTGTGCTGTATTCAGGAGACCCATTTCACCTGCAAAGACACACATCTGCTCAAAATCAAGGGAGGGAGGAAAATTTATCAAGCAAATGGAAAGCAAAGAAAAACAAGGGTTGCAATCCTAGTCTCTGACAAAACAGACTTTAAACCAACAAAGATCAAAAAAGACAAGGGCATTACATAATGGTAAAGAGAACAATTCAACAAGAAGAACTAACTATCCTAAATATACTGCACCCAATACAGGAGCACCCAGATTCATGAAACAAGTACTTAGAGACCTGTAAAGAGACTTAGACTCCCACACAATAATAATCGAGACTTGAACACTCCACTGTCAATATTAGACAGATCAATGAGACAGAAAATTAACAAGGATATTCAGGACTTGAACTCAGCTCTGGACCAAGTAAACCTAATAGATATCTACAGAACCCTCCACCCCAAATCAAGAGAATATACATTCTTCTCAGTGCCACATGGCACATGTGATAAAAGAACTGCATTTCTCAGTGCCACATGGCACTTATCATAAAAGAATCTTAAGCAAATGCAAAAGAACTGAATTCATAGCAAATAGTCTCTCAGACCACAGTGCAATCAAATTAGAACTCAGGATGAAGAAACTCACTCAAAACCATAAAATTACATGGAAACTGAACAACCTGCTTCTGAATGACTCCTGGGTAAACAATGAAATTAAGGCAGACATCAAAAAGTTATTTGAAACTAATAAAAACAAAGAGACAATGTACGAGGATCTCTGGGACACAGCTAAAGCAGTGTTAAGACAGAAATTTATAGCACTAAATGCCCATGTCAGAAAGCTAGAAAGATCTCCAATCAACAGCCTAACATCACAATTAAAAGAGCTAGAGAGACAAGAGCAAACTAATACGAAAGCTAGCAGAAAAAAGAAATAACTAAGATCAGAGAAGAATTGAAGGAGATACAGAAAAACTCTCCAAAAAATCAATGAATCCAGGAGGTGGTTTTGTGAAAAAAAATAACAAAACATAGTCTGCTGGCTAGAATAATAAAGGGGAAAAGGGAAAAATCAAATAGACACAATAAAAAATGATAAAGGGGATATCACTAGTGACCCCATGGAAATACAAACTGCCATCAGAGAATGTTATAAACATCTCTATGCAAATAAACCAGAAAACCTAGAAGAAATTGACAAATTCCTAAACACATACACCCTCTCAAGACTAAATCAAGAATAAGTTGAATCTATGAATGGACCATTAACAAGTTCTGAAATTGAGCAGTAATTAATAGCCTATCATCAACAACAACAACAAAAAGCCCAGGAATAGATGGATTCACAGCCAAATTATACCAGAGGTACAAAGAGGAGCTGGTACCATTCCTTCTTGAACTACTCCAAAAAAAAATGAAAAGGAGTGACTCGTCCCTAACTCATTTTATTAAGCCAGCATCATCCTGATACCAAAACCTGGCACAGACACAACAAAAAAAGAAAATTTCAAGCCAATATCCCTGCTGAATGTTTACGTAAAAATCCTCAATAAAATACTGGCAAACCAAATCCAGCACCAAATCAAAAAACTTATTCACCACAATCAAGTTGGCCTCATCCCCCAGATGCCAGGTTGGTTCAACATACACAAATCAATAAATGTAATCCATCGCATAAACAGAACCAAAGACAAAAACCACATCATTATCTCAATCTATTCAGAAAAGGCCTTTGATATAATTTAAAATCCCTTCATGTTAAAAACTCTCAATATACTAGGTATTGATGGAACATGTCTCAAAATAATAAGAGCTATTAATGACAAACCCACATAAAATATCATACTGAATGGGCAAAAGCTGGAAGCATTACTTTTGAAAACCAGTACAAGACAAGGATTCCCTCCCTCACCACTCCTATTCAATATAGTATTGGAAGTTCTGGCCAGGGCAATCGGGCAAGAGAAAAAAATAAAGGGTATTCGAATAAAAAGAGAGTAAGTCAAATTGTCTCTCTTTGCAGACAATATGATTCTATATTTAGAAAAGCCCGTCATCTCAGCCCAAACTCCTTAAGCTAATAAGCAACTTCAGCAAAGTCTCAGGATACAAAATCAATGTGCAAAAATCAAAGCATTCCTTTACACAAGCAACAGACAAATAGCCAAATCATGAATGAATTCCCATTCACATTTGCTATAAAGAGAATAAAATACCTAGGAATACAGCTAACAAAGGAAGTGAAGGAACTCTTCAAGGAAAACTGCAAACGATTGCTCAAGGAAATAAGAGAGGACACAAACAAATGGAAAAACATTCCATCCTCATGGATAGGAAGAATCAATATTGTAAAAATGTCCATACTGCCCAAAGTAGTTTATAGATTCAATGCTATTCCCATCCAACTACCATTGACATTCTTTACAGAATTAGAAAAGACTACTTTAAATTTCATATGGAATCAAAGAAGACCCTGTATAGCCAAGACAATCATAAGCAAAAAGAACAAAGCTGGAGGCATCATGCTACCTGACTTCAAACTATACCACAAGGCTACAGTAACCAAAACAGCATGGTACTAGTACCAAAACAGACATACAGACCAATAGAACAGAACAGAGACCTCAGAAATAACACCACACATCTACAACCATCTGATCTTTGACAAACCTGGCAAAAACAAGCAAAGGAAAATGGATCTCCTATTCAATAAATAGTGCTGGGAAAACTGGCTAGCCATATACAGAAAACTGAAACTAGACCCCTTCCTTATACCTTATACAAAAATTAATTCAAGATGGAGTAAAGACTTAAATGTAAAACCCAAAACCATAAAATTCCTAAAAGAAAATCTGGGCAATACCACTCAGGACGTAGGCATGCACGAAGACTTCATGACAAAAACCCCAAAAGCAATTGCAACAAAAGCCAAAATTGACTAGTGGGATCTAATTAAACTAAAGAGCTTCTGCACGGCAAAAGAAAGTATCATCAAAGTGAACAGGCAGCCTACAGAATGGGAAAAAACTTTTACAGTCTACCAATCTGACAAAGGTCTAATATCTAGAATTTACAAGGAACTTAAAAATATTTACGAGATAAAAACAAAATCCCATGAAAAAGTGGGTAAATGATGTGAACAGACACTTCTCAAAAGAAGACATTTACACAGCCAACAAACATAGGAAAAAAGCTCAACATCACTGATCATTAGAGAAATGCAAATCAGAACCACAATGAGATACCATCTAATGCCAGTCAGAAGAACTATTATTAAAAAGTCAAGAAATAATAGATGCTGGTGAAGCTGTGGAGGAATAGGAACACATTTGCAATGTTAACGGGAATGTAAATTAGTTCAACCATTGGGGAAGACACTGTGGCAATTCCTCAAGAATATAGAACCAGAAATACCATTTGACCCAGCAATCCCATAACTGGGTATATACCAAAAGGAATATAAATCATTCTACTACAAAGACACATGCAAATGTTTGTTTATTGCAGCACTATTTACAATAGCAAAGTCATGAAACCAATCCAAATTTCAATGAATGATATACTGGATAAAGAAAATGTGGTATATATACACCATGGAATACTATAAAATAAAAAGGAATGAGACCATGTCCTTTGAAGGGACATGGATGAAAGTGGATGCCATCATCCTCAGCAAACTAACACAAGAACAGAAAACCAAACACCACATGTTCTCACTCATAAGTGGGAGTTGAACATTGAGAACACATGGACACAGAGAGGGGAACAACACATATCAGAGCCTGTTGGGGGGTAAGGGGTGAGGGGAGGGAACTTAGAGGACAGGTGGGCAGCAAGCCACCATGGCACACGTATACCTATGTAACAAACCTGCACATTCTGCACATGTATCCCAGAACTTAAATCAAAATAAAATAAATAAATACATATTTATTCAGTGTAAGTAAACCAATTTTCAAGGTTTCAAGGCTCTATACATAAAAGAAACATGAAAGCCTGTTTTCATTAATTCACATTGTAATAAATTTCTTAAAAATTCAAATGTGTAGTCATGAAATTTCTGTCTGATTCCAGTATGTCTCTGTGTGGGTTTAAAGCTGATTGTTCATATATTTTCTCATTCAGATTACTTTAGAGTTGGAATATTAAAAACAACTTTAAAAATTACATTGTACATCAATATATAGACTTATTTCAGTGATGCATATAAGAAAGGGACACCAAGCCGTGAAGAAATGATCATTTTTCTTTGTTTATTAACCATGCCCCATATGGACTTCTCTTAGAGAACTTATAATATAGAATTACAGGGTTTACAAATATTTCTTCCCTAGTAGACACTAGGATCCTTGATACATCTTTTTAACTAAACTGTCTAGCAAGATCAAGCCAGAATGGTGATCAACATTTTAAAAGTAGCTTAGCCCAGAGTGTTGGAGGTGAGGAAAGGAAAGGGCTTTGAGGGCATACCTAGGTACATAAATCCTATTTTGATTTTAAAATATTGCTTAATGTCTAAGGCAGCTATTATATTTCTAAAGAAAGTAGCATTTCATTCAGAGGCCGCCCAGAGTTTAAATTACACCATAGTTTTTCTTTCTTTCTGCAAATCATTCTTTCTGATTTGCAGTTTTTTCCAAACAGAGCCATATTATTGGAACAAAAGTTTGATGTTCATGCCCAACAAGCTCTGATATTTTATGGATACATTTGTATAGAGCAAGACTTCTTGCTCTGAACCTTGGGTGACCACAAATAAATTGAGAGGCCATGATTATTGGATGCTGAGAGGAAGTAGCATACTTAAACCCACAGTACAGATAATCAGGAGGCAAGCAAAAACAAAGCTAATATGCCCCATAAATGTCTTCAGTGTTCTTCAGGGTAATTGGGATCTCAAAAGATTTGGTTCAGATCCAAACAAATACACATTCTGTGTTTTAGCTCAGTGTTTTTTTTAAAAAAGAAGCTGCCACATAGCAAAAAATTGTTTACTTTGTTGGACAAACCAAATCAGTTCTCAAAAAATGACCAGTGCTTATAAAAAGTTATAAATATCGAGTAACTCTAAAACAAACCACCTGACCAAGAGGGAAGTCAGCTTGTGATTAGTATTTACATTGGACACCAGTTTTGTAATCACTGACTTATGTGCAAACTGGTGCAGAAATTCTATAAACTCTTTGCTGTTTTTGATACCTGCTTTTTGTTTCATTTTGTTTTGTTTTGTTTTGTAAAAATGATAAAACTTCAGAAAATCAAATGTCAGTGTTGAATAAAAATAAATAAATAAATAAATAAATAAAAATATTGCTTAAATCTCCCACTTTCAATTTGTGGACATGGGAGTAACATTTACTTAAAAAGCTGTGTGAGATTGTGATTATCTGAAACACCATGTATGAGGTATGACACTCAGTAGATAAAACATCAATGGCAATTTTTAATCAAGGATGAAAAGACTCGATTATATTTTACATACTATAAATATAAAACTAAATTCATTGACTTAATTCTAATTAATTTTGCTTACAACAAAATTTCTTACGTGATAATTTAAACGGAGTATACAGAGTAGTTTATTGGTTCAAATTATTTATTATATTTTAACTTTCCCATAAATCATGTTTCTCCAGCCTAGACTTCTTTTTAAGTGACATTAAAAAAAAATTCCAATTAAAATATAATGACATTAAAATGCATGTTATCATAAAACAAACAATTCAGATATGTTTCTTTCTTTTTTTAAAGATGGTAAGGCAGACTTTATTTTGGAAGGGGGTACGTGGCCTGTTGCAAGGGGCCAGGGACTGTTGCAATGGGGTGTTACAGTGGGTAAGAAAGATTGAAATCAACTCCCAGGGAAGTTTCCTTAGATGTTTGGTGACATTACAAACAACAGACAGCTATGTAGCATTCCTTTTTTACAGGGCACTATAGAAAAACAAGAAAAGGAAATATATTGTCATATTAACAGCAAGACCTTGGAGTGAAAGCCCTTTCACTGCATATTTAGAACAGCAACTAGTAAAATTTGCTTTTACAAAATGGATACACAACAACATAAGTTAAGGCTATGACTTCTTAATTAAATGAATGAAAGCTTTAATTCATTTAGTGATTTACAAATGCATTTCTTAAGTGGTGATTGCTGTTAGGTTTTCTTGTGTCCATTGTTAATTTCATTTAAAGGTGATGTATCTTTGCATTCAAAAAATGATAAATTATTATCTTCAACAGAATCTAAGAACAAAAGGCAGAAGAATAAGCCAGTAGATAGACATTTTGGAAGAGAAACTGAACTTAACACAAATAGCAAGTTTCATTTAAGCCAGGAAGAGGAAATCATGCTGACAATCAAACTTTTAAGCCTCCCTGATTTTTTTTTAATCAAGTACCTGGAATGGAAAAGATCCCATCTCAATGGTTTTACATATTTCACCTTCCTTTTAACTGTTAGGATTTTTTTGAAAACTCATCTGTTTATCATTCATGACTTCAAAGCCATAAACTAAATCTTCAGCCACTGAGGAAATCCTTCAAAAACCATGATTCATTTTTAAAAAGTACATTCATGCACTGAAATTTATTTTTCTCTATTTGTTCTATTATATTGGATACTATTTGTACAATTAATAGGCAATGGAAATAAAACTTTGCTTATATTATTTATTAATCTTGAATACATCTGTCTACTATAGACAAAGGCCAATTTGACTGCAGTTTCAGAGGTTAGCGTTTTGGTGAGCAAATGTCTTCTAATAGAAACATCCATTGCAAGTACTAAAGTTAAATCAAATTTGCCAGAATCTACATCTTCAATTTTATACTGATGGTAGTTTATTTGACTTGAAGTCATTCAATTTTTTTTACTCAGAATGTATCAATCAGATTGGATTTCATCCAACATTTTGTTGTTGTTTTCTTATGAGAGTAACAGTAGTTGTGTCCTGGTGTTTCAGTCACTTAAAATGGGGAGGTAGTGTATAATCGACTATTTTCACTATATATGATCATATGTGATCCTCTTGTTTCTGTAACAAATACTTTATTATATATTAATTTAAAATAATAACAGATTCCAGAGAGTGAATCTTAGAAGAGAAGTTGACTAAGGATAACAATAGTAATATTACAATTCCCAGAAATCTCTTAAGTGCTTTTAACAATTTAATTCTTAGAAAAGTTCTTTAAGACATCTTTGTCATCAAAATGTAATCTTTGCATTATTTTATTAGTCTACTTTGGTCAGAGATTACATCAACCACAAAGCATTTATACTAACAATATACCTGGGTGTAAATAGCCGGAGTTAAAAAAAAAGAATCAAGTAGTATTTGATTTGGTGGATACTTTTTCAGAAATAAAAATGTATTTTTCTTATGAACTGTAAATGGAAAGGGGAGAGTTGGATAGACACCTGTCAGTATCATCTTCCTCAGTGTTGCAGGCACTTTTCCTGATTTGATAAGGCGAAGTAAACATGAAAATTCATGTCAACCTTATTTTTTGTTTTGTTAATTGCTACATACTCAGAAACGGAATGTTATTGATAGTAAATCACCACCTTTAAAATAAGCATTAGGACATTTATTATTTCAATTACCATATGTAAGCAACCTAATAAAAATATTAGCATAATCCCCTAAGGCAGCTTTCATCATCTCTTTAGATTTACTTGGTATGCTATCAGTCAGTTATGAATGGAAATCAGAAATAGTTTAAGTAAATTAAGCAAAAATTACTTTGAATGCCTACTGATTTTCTGCTCTGACATATACAGATCTTATCAACTATTCAAAACTGAAGTGCTTTAGCATTATCTTACATTGCTGTTATAATTAACAAGGTTGATACAAAGGATATGGTTGTAAGAAATACATTTTCAACATATTTAAACATAACATTATATATAATTACTGACTCCTCAGATAAATGCAAATCAGTAAGGAATGAAGGAATACTCAGCAGGTCTATTCTAGGCTCCTTTTGTGAACCCCTAGCATAAAGGTAAATAGCTGTTCTTTATTATACAGTTATCCTGAAGAACTCAAGGAAATGTGTTTTTAATGCATTAAACATCTCGTTTGAGCCTTTTATCCCACATGTGTTTTATTTTGCCTTTCTGTACCTTACTGCCCTTTTGTCCTGTTTTGACATTTGTCTAAAGGATTTGTTCTCCTCCTGATGGGTCTAACATTCTCCCCATAGAACCCTAAATTTCTATGTGGGACCTCACATTTCCTACTTCTGAGCAATCCAGTAATGCTACATCAACCTCCCAAAGGAATCAACAATTTGGTGACTTTTATCAATACTTTGCTTTCATTGTGCTCTAATCTTATGAGTATACTTTATCTCACAAGGTTTTATTTTATTCACAGATGATAAATATAATAATTGCATTATGTACTATGGTGCTACAAAAACTATCCCTAAGGGTTCTGAAATCCACCAGTTTATATGAGCTAGCTATTTTTGAAAAGAAAATAATTCAGAACTTTCCAGGGAATTGTAATATATAATCAATTCAAATAAATAAAAATGAAGTTAATTTATAACAGATTGTGTCAAGTTGTGTTATACAATCTCTTTGATTTAGGATAAGGTATTTATTTTTCAAACATAATCCATTCATCTTCAGTGTTGAAATACATGGGTGAAAATAGATTACACTCACATAAAATTAATTGTTTGGTCACACCCTGTAATGGTTTGAATCATGTCCCCTAAACTTTCATGGCCAGCCAGAACCTCAAAATGTGTCATTATTTGGAAATCGCCTATTTGAAGATGTAATTATTTAATATGCGGCCATACTGAATTAGGTGGGCCCTAATGCTCTTAAAAAAGGAGAGAACACATTTGGACACATGCACACAGTAAAGGCCATGTGTAGACAAAGGCAGAGATTGGAGTAATGCTGCCACAAACCAAGGAAGGCCTGGTCTACCAGAAGCTGGAAGAGGCTATGAAGGATTCTTCCCTAAAGACTTATGAGAGTAAATGACCCTTCTGATACATTGGTGTTAGACTCCCAGCCTCCAGAAGAGTGAGAGAATAAATATTTGTTGTTTTAAGCCACCCAATGTGTGGTAATTTGTTACAGTAACGTTAGGAAGCTAATACACGCTCATAAGATCTAGCCTAAGGGGACAAATTGGTGAGAAAAAAATAAAAAAAAAAAAGAAGTGTATTGAAAAAGTTATTTACAAGTAACTTGGATGATAATTTTGGGAAATAAACTCATATTAAGCTTGTAAAATTGTGACAATGTAGGGATTTTTTTAAAAGAAAGAAAAATAATAGAAGTATAGTATGATGAAAACAGAATGGGTTTTATTTAGAAAATGTACAGACAGAATAATATTACTCAATTGTAACTTCTCTATAGTCTTAAATGAATTATCAAGTTGGGATATAAATATCCCAACATTCATATACTTAAAGTGTTTAGAAAATATAGTGATTTTTTTCTGAATAATTATAAGATTTATTATTGATTGTTGTCATTTTGATATTTGATTGCTTGACAGTTTTACTATGATGTTCCAAGTTGTAATTTTTTTTTGATTTTATCCACCTGGTGGTTCTGGAAATACCCTGTTTTTGGATGTTGTTTATTACTACTATATTAAAATTTCTGACCAATATCTCTTCAAACATTGTTTCTTCTTTCTTCCCAATTTCACTTCTGAAACCTGAATACAAATTATATGCTTTTATTATGTCCCATATATTTTTCAACATCCTTTTCTGTATCTTTCAGTCTTTTCTTCTTTTCATGCCTTGACCTGGATATTTTCTACTGACCTCTTTCAGTTCACTTATCCTTTCTAACGCTGTTTTCAATTTGCCGTTAAGTCTATTATGTTCTTAATTTTCACTAATGTAATTCAGTGGTAGATATTTTAAAGTTGATAATTTTCTAATAAAATTTCTCTCTAATTATCTACTTTCTTTATTGTTATCACAGTTATTTTAAGACTGTGACAGAGAATCAGAGAACTCTGCTTTTCTGATTACCTGTGTTGTGTTTCTACGTTCGATTTTCACTATCTTGATTTTTAATCAATTGATACTGTCTCTGATCAAACCAGCCAATTTTTTATCTGCTACAGATATTTGTATATAAAATTGTGTGACAAATATTTTATGTTTCTGCAAAAATGATTGACTCTTATTCTTGCAGGCAGTCGTGTAAAGGCAGATCACCCCACTCAAGTCAGGGATTGAGGTGATTTGAGGCTAGATTGTAATGTTTGTGATGTTGGCCTCTCTCTGATTTGTGATGATTTTTAGGGTGTTAGACTTCCCTCAGGGGTCTCAATAAATAAATAAATAAATAAATAAATAAATAAATAAATTTATAAATATAAAAAAATAAAAAAAGGCCTGGCCTGTTTATTTTGTTTCTACACCTTAATAGACTCTAAAATCCAATCTTTGTTTCCTTAACATCATAAGTCTGCCAAGTGCTCTGGTTGGTAATTAGCTTCTCAGATGTCACTTTTACATGAGCATATGACCCCTTGCCAGCTAGGTTTTGGAGTGTACTTATTTATGGGTACATTTTCAATAATACCATGGTCTCATGGTCACTCAAGTCTGGTTGCCGTGATTACTCAAATTAATTTCAAAGGATGCACTTTTATACAAATTTTGTTTTTCTTCAGGAGAATCCTTCTAAATGCAAGCTGATGCAAGGTAGCTTTTCATATCTGGAAGCATAAATTACATTAAGAAAATGCAAACCTAGACTAAGAATAAGGAGTTTCTTAAATTTTGCAGGAACCTTTTTTTTTTTTTTTGTCAAAGAAAAACTGCAATTTACCTGTGACTAACCATATGAATGAACTTAAATCAGAAACTATGTTTCTTACCATTAGGTCACAGAGATATCTGAGTATTTCTCCTAAGTTAAAAGAAAAATTTTCAGAAGTATAAGTTCTCTTGGTCTTTGTTTTTGGTTTCATAATAAATAGAATCATTCACCAGTCATCATGAGGTTGACTGCTTTTGAATGGAAAAAATGGTCACTAAAAATGGTCCAAATGAAAAACTGCCATTATAATGCACTAAATTTGCCTTTAGGTTTTAAAGCATCTCTATTTTTATTGTCAAATAACTAAACTTGGACATACATAACATGCTATTTTAAAATAAAGTTTTAATTTAATTTTCAGAAATTAATGAAAATAAATCGTAAATTTCTGCAAATCATACACTGGGAAATGTAAGTCTTCTCTCACTACCTCCTCTCCACTATTTTCAGCCATATTTTTCTTATGCAGTGTCCATTATATTTACCAATTTATTGTGTATCCTCTTAACCATGGCCATCTAGTCTCAAAGATTAAATGTTTATGGAATACTAGTAGTTTTAACTGCTGCATGGTATTCCATTCAATCTCTATTAATGTCATTTTTAACTAAGTTATTTTTGGTGATTTTCTAATATAAACAATGACTATCCTAATATATACATTATTTCCCACATATTTATTTCTGTATAATAAATTTTAGATGAAGTCTTATTGAATCAATTGATATATGATTTAAAAAAATAACATCGGATTCTTTTAATTTCTATAGTTTTTGATATGATCGAACTTATACAGGAAATCACATCTTTTATTAGCATCTTGGTAATTCCTGTGCAATTCTTCTTTCATGTCACTTTCAGAATTGGCTTATGATGCTTTATAAAATAGAAACACTTATTTAAATTTTGATTCAGATTATTTTCATTAATACAGTAAGTTTTTTTAATGGTGAGTCTTCTATCCAGACTCTTAATAAGCCTCTTCATTTACTCTCTCTCTTTTTTTTTTTTTTCAGTGTCCTTCTATAAATTTCCATACTTTTTTCCTTATTGGTCTTCTCATTTCACTTTAGATATCATCATTTATTTTATAGTTATTGTGACTGAAAACTTTTGTTCATTCCTTTTTCTTACTGGTTAAGGATGGCATATAGAGAAGAAAATGTGTTTTATATGATAGTCTTGTAGCCAAAGACCTTGCTGACCTCTCTCATTGTTCTCATGGATAGCCTATTTAGATGATACTATCTTCTGCAAATATCAAGTGTTATCTTTTCTTTTACAATGTTTATACATTTCTGATTTTTTGTCATTTGTTTTAAACATTGGTTTGGACCTCAGTACATCTTCTTAATTTTTTGTCCTCTATTTTTTTAACAGCTTTTTGTAGTATGGCTTACAAAAAAATGGAATTCACCTGCTTTAAGTAAACAATTCAATACTTTTTAGTAAAATTAGAAAATTGGGCAAACCTTACCATTATTGAATTTTGAAACATTTCCTTTACCCTAAAAGATCTCTTGTGCCCATTTGCAGTTATTCACCATTCCATTTCCAGCTCTAATAACCAAAAATCTCATACAGTATTGTATAGTACTAAGCGACTGGTTTGCCAAACTTGTCATTTCTGTAGCTCATGAGAATGGCAGAAATGTTTCATTTTTAAGTGTAATTTGAACAATTATTTTCTTATCAACTAAGTAAAATGTTTCTTTTTTCATGAATTTACTAAGATATTTTTATTTGAAATTTATTTTTAATTTTGTCAAATGGATTTTCTGAATCAATTCAGAAAATATCATTTTTTCTCATTGAATCTAGGTAAGTTTACAAATAAACTTTCTCAGGTTGAGCTATATTTGCATTTTCTTTTTGCCTCCATTTGCACATGAAGTATTATTTTTTTTCAGATATCTGTATTCATTATTCATTGCTGCATAACAAATTCAATAGTCTACAAAAACAATAATCCTTTATTATTTCTCATGCTTTTTGTGAGTACAGAATTTGGTAGCATTTAAGTTCAGTAGTTCTGGCTCAGCATCTCTCAAAAGCTGTTGACTAGAGATGTAGTCATCTGAAGTGTGGAGCTGGAAGATCCTGTTCAAAGGGAGTTTATTCACAGGCCTGGCAATTAAGGTTAGCAAATGGTTTTCTCTTTTCATGAACCTTTGCACAGGACTTGTTGCATCTTCTTACTATACAAAGGATGACTTCCTCCCCAAACTAGCAATGCATGAAACCTGGGTGAAGACTGCAGCACATTTATGACCTCACCTTGGCAGTAACACACTGTAATTTCTTTCTTATTCTATTGGTCAAGCCAGCCCCAAATGAATGGAGAGACTAAACAAGGGCAAAAATAATATGAGACAAACATCATTGAAATTAAGATTCACAGATCCTAACATATTCTTTTGCTATTGTTAGTGCATAATTTTAACATTTATGATTCTACATTACATTGGGCTATCCTTTTATTTCTTATGGGATGCTTCTTAAGATGGTGTTATATCAACCTTACAAAATTACTTTGCTATATTTCTGAATTTTCAGTTTAGTGCAGCATATTTGTTACCTGACAAATTGTATAAATCCATCATGAGAACAGGTAATTTAAACCTATGTCTCTCAAACACGGTGAGATCAAACAGAAGAAAACAGAGAGTGATAACAAAGATTAGTTGGAAAATATAATTATCAAGCTGGATAATTATGTATAGAAATCTGCATTTAACAATTATAAATTAAACTTCGCATATTCTCAAAAAGGAACATGCATTGGTTACGATATTAATTAATTAGCTATATTTTATATAGCTCTTAATACAGGCCAGAACCTGTTCAGAAGTCTGTATATATATTAGGTCATTTAATTCTCACAAATAACCCATATTTCTACTATATTCATTTTACAGAATATATATCTAAAGAAGAGATGATTGAAAGGTATGTAACTATTAAGTGAACATGATTACTATTAAATCTACCATTTTCACTCCAGAATCTGGGTAGTTAATGAATGCTATATGACCTCTCAAATAGTGACTCTCAACAAATAAATAAATACTTAATGAACTATCCAAAATGGTTTTTGAAAATATAATATAATCAAAGCACAATTATTAAAGAGGATAAAAAAAATTGAAATCACCATTTATTTGAAAAATCTAAAGATACCCATAAGTAATGTGTGCTTAAAAGAGAGATCATAGTGAAAATCAAAAATAATACTATTTGGAATTGAATGATAATAAAACTAAATATACATTTGTGAAATTGAAAAATATATATATTTGAGATAAATGTATACCCTTAAAACTTATGTTAGATAGTAAGAACATTGAAATTTAGTAAGTTAAAAGGCCATATTAAGAAGTTAGAAAATCATAAATAGACTAAATACACAGAAGGATGATTAGATGACAAAAAATTGGAGTCAAATATCAATGAAATAGAAAACCAATAAGCAATATAGAGGATAAAATTTGTGTGTTTTTTTGCTGTATTTATAAAGAGGAGAGAAATATAACAACCTACAATATTGGATTTGAATGACACCTATCCTCGAGTAGATGTCTCAAGAAGTGTTGATAGGTGTAGAATTTCAGCATTACTTATGCATTGAAAACTGTTTTAAATGGTTAAATAATGTATTTGGGAGAATGTAGCTGTATATAAAATCTTTAGAGCACATTTTCTTGAAGTTCTTTAGAAAATTATTCACTATTATTGTTTACCCTGTAAATTGGTCTTGGAATGCTAGTATACAATTTTTTGCCATCCAGTCTTTTTTCCTGGAAGCTTTGAAGATTTTTGCCTTTGAAAAGTAACAGTTTTATTATTATAGTTCTCAGCATTGATTGTTCAGAGTTAATTTTCCAGAGTATCTGGTGAGCCCTTTCAATGTGTATATTCAGACTTTGTTGTATTTCTGAAGTGTTGTTTTGCACTATAGTTTTAAATATTAGTTCTGTTTCATTGTTTTGTTTTTTATCAAAGATTCCAAAATAGCGTGAATATTATTTTTCTATGCAGGTGTTCCATATTCATATTTATTTTTTGACTTTTTAAATCTCTTCCCTGTTTTATCTTGATTATTTTCCTGTTTCTTCAATGTTTCTTACTAAATTTTCATTTGAGTCTTGTCTCCCTTGAGCACAAACTAATTCACTTTTATTTAGCTGAGTTAAATTTGTCTTCTTCCATTTCTTTCCTAAGTTATCTTTTTTTCCTAAAATTTCCATTCTGCTATTAAATCAATTTTTTCGTATACCTTATAGGTTTAAAATATTTATTTGATTTCTGTTATAATTATATTTGTTTTCTAAGATAATTTTCTTTTCATTAATTATGAATGTATTTTACTTTGATCATCATTTTAATATCTATATTAAAGTTCTTGCCTGTCAATTCTATCATATGGTTATTATCATGGCTGGCATCTGTTGATTGTCTTTTTCTTTGACAGTAGATGGCATTTTCCTGGATCTGCACATATTTAGTAATTTTAGATTATATCTGTAGATAATGAAAACTGAAAATTCTGTTATATTCCTCTGAAGTATTTATTTTTATTTGTCTTCTGTAGAAAATTAACTGATATGTGTTCAAACTGAAAACTCTAGTATGCTTATAGTGAGTGGCTAACATTGTTTGAATGTGCCTGTTAATTCTTAGTTCAAAGGCCATTAAATAACCAGGATACTCCTTAAAACCATATTTGTGCTCCTATTCTCTTTCTCCTTTTTGGTTCCTTTCTCCTTCTTTAATAGCTTAAAATGTTAAGCCTCCCCTGTCCAGAAACATACTGGGCTTTCTATTACATTTTTACATTTTTAGCTACCCCAAATCCTTGTCTTGGTTGTTGCTGTCAGTGGAAAATATAAGAAAAGAAGGAAAGAGAGAGAGAGGAAGGAAGGAAGGAAGGAAGGAAGGAAGGAAGGAAGGAAGGAAGGAAGAAAGGAAGGAATGTTACTGCATACCTGGTTGTTTCCTCTAAGTTTTAACTTCCTTTAAAATCTGCCTGCATTTTGTTATTATATTATATATTTGTTTTAACTTGAGTTTACAGCTGGTATCAACAACATTTATTTATCAGTTTCATACTCTGTAATAACAGAAAAACGCCTCTATGGACTTTTTTTAAGAAATTGTTTATTCTTTCTGTTCTGAGTGGATAAATCTACTAATTTGCCACTAAACTAACCAACCTATTTTATTTATTGCAATTTTCAGTTTGCTGTTATCCCTTCCAGTAACTTTTCCATTTCAGATATTTTATTTTAGTTCAACAATTTCTGTTTGGTTCCTTTTGGTAGTTTTTCTTTTTTTGCTGAGATTTCTCATCTGTTCACTTATTTGGACTATCATTTTCTTTAAGTCCTTAAATATTTTTACTTAGCTGCATTAAAGTTTTTTCCAGCTACTTAAAATGAATACACCAATTTAAGTCGTTTTCTACTTTTTGTCCATATCTCTTGTTTATGAGATATATTTACCTACTTCTTTGCATGTCAAGTAGTTTCGGTTATGCAGTAGAGATTATATATGGTCTATTATAGATAATCTAGATTTCTTACCCTCTTCTGAAGTGTATTGATTTTTTGTTCCAATAGGTAATAAAGTAGTTTTGGTACTCTTTTCCGTTTAGTTAAAAAATGTTTGGAAAAATTTAGTAAAAAAATCTAAGGAAAATCCCTTAGATTTTGGACATAGTCTTTACTCCAAAAATTGAGCCTCAGTGGAAAGCCTGAGGTGTTTACCAGCTGCCTATAACTTGACAAGTCTCAAACTCACATTTCAGTTACTCCTGCATTGGATACAGCTTAGATCTCTGCTCAGAAGTTTCAGAATTGCAGCTGACTCATGCTTTCCAGTAAGTCCTTACAAGTATCCCCAACATATACAAAATGCAAGACTCAGTCAAGGTTTGGGGTGTACATTGTATGTAGATTTTAGAGTTCCCAATCTGTGTCAGATTCTTTCCCAGGATTTTTCCATAAATCTCCAGCCACATTGACAATGTTTAAGCCCATGCTCTCCTTCACAAAGAAAGAAGGCTGTAGTTTTCTACTTGAGTTCTTGATATTTGTGCAATACTAAATGTGGCACTAAAAGTGCCCTCAGAAGAAAAGTCTGTGAAAAAGAGTATTGCTCAAAGTAGTTAATTTCTTACATGGGCCAAGTCCTTTCCATGTCTATCTCAATCTCCTTTTGGCCAGTCTCCAGTTTCTTTAGAAAGGTGATTGGTTTCTGTTGTGTTTTCTTTTTTGTTTCTGTATTTTCTCAAGCTTTTAAATTGTTATCTGTAGGATAGTTAATCTAATACAAGCTACTATACCATTTCTGGAATAAGAACCCTTTCTATTTTATTTTGTATTTATTAACATACATCTGCAAAATAAGTAAACACAAACATTAGGAGCAAAGAAGTATGATAATGTATTACAATAAAGCATATTAAAAATAATGGGACACATTAAAAAGTTGTCATTATAATTGTAGGTCCAAGAGAATTTGTCAATTGATTAGTTGTACATTTGTTTGTCAGCTTGAGATTTTATTAATAGATACACCTTTCCCTTTATACAGATGCTTTTCTGAGTAAATGTTAACTAGAACAATTTCATAACTTGATATTCTGTTGAAATATTCCTACTTCAATGTACCTTGAACTTCCTTTGCTTATAATTGGTTTCATGGACTTATAGGATCTTAAAATTAGAAGGAACTCTTCTTACCACTTACAGCCCAATCTCCCACCCAGTGCAAGGAATCTTCTCCTTAACAAACAATCATTCAAACTCAGATTGAATACTATCAATGATAGAGTGTTCATTATTCTGCTTTCTCTCAGACACAGATGCAAACACGATATTCTGTGAAAGACACACAGTGGAAAAGGACAGGTTCCTCCTTATCCAAATTTCTGCAGAGTTAGTTAGCTGTATTTGACAACTTAATTTCAATTCTTAGCTAACCAATGTTTTCATCTAAAGGGGCCATGACTCAGGCTAAACATGTTCCAAAACTTCTGAGAAGTCAAGCATGAGAACAAGGTTTGAGGTTTAAAAAAAAAAAAAGATCCAATTTTTAGTCTATTCTTAGTTAAATTTATGTCCAAAGCATACGGTGAGCTGAGTAGAAAGTTTTGTTTTCTAAGCCAACATTTTTTCTCCTCCAGTTACTTGGAGTAAATTAAGCCTGGTTTGCTACTTCTCAAAGCTTCTCTCTGCAAGGATATACTGGCTTTGCTTTAGGCTGAAATAGACAATGAGGCACAGGTTTACAAATGGCACTAAAGACTTTATGTTTCTACAGCTCACAAAATCAAATGCTTTCATTTAAAACCGAACACACTACCTTTCATGTTAGGATAATTTGCTACTATTTAAATCACCTAATGCAAGAGTAATTTATACACATTCATTCTGTTTTTTAAAAGTAGGCTTATATACACAAATTTAAACTTCACACACTGACTGTAGGTTTACATATATTATATGTATTTATAAACACTGACAAAAATGATTCAATATCAGTTTGTGGGCTTTAAAAATATACTTTAGTCATGCAAATTTTTGATGACTGTTCTGTCCAAAGGTTTGTGGTCATAAAGCACATAATACAATTGTAAGATGACTGGTTAGTAAGATTCAACTTTGCCGCAAATTTCACATGCCTATGGGATATACAACATTACATAATTGCAAATGCTATGATAAATGTGGTGGTTTATGGCACGTATATTAAAGCGAAATCTATCTATCTGTCTATCTATCTATCTATCTATCTATCTATCTATCTATCTATCTATATCTATAATGTTATTTTAGGGTACCCCATAGACATGCAATTCAGAATCCATGTAGTTTAGGTATGTTCTTATTTATGTTCCTTTCTCTGTGAATTGAAACAGATCAAAGAACCATTGACAGTTCACAGGTTAAAACATCAAAGAAAGAGAAAGAAGTGTTGTTTAAGGCTCTTTGGATCTTCAGTCCTAAGTGCATGTCTTTAAGTAAAGCTGCCAAAGCTTACAGAGTTATTTATTTAGGGGATATATTGTAGCCTGATGAATGTTGGAAAAATAAAATATCTTATTACTTTTTAGAGGTGATTTTTTTGACAATGCACAAAGGAAGTAGTCCTCCTCTGCTGTTTTAATAAAATAGAAGATTGTGAGATGATTAAATGGCTAAAGACAAACTCTCAGGATCTGATGTTATCAGAACCCAGTGAAAAATAGGGAGTTCATGAGCTTGGCAATTTGCTAAGAGAGTAAGCTGAAAGTATTATAAAAAGAGACCACATAGAACTGTAGTTTTATGTGATATTTCAGACCTAACTGAGATATATGGAAGCTAAGAAGCTATTTTAATAGCAAAAAGAAGTGTGTTAAATTTTCTTTTCTGCCAGAGCCAAGTGTATGTTTGGTAAATGAGAGCCAGTTGCTACTTACGTAGGAGGAAGTTAAGTTTTGGGTAATGTCCATCTATACACTTAGGAGGTATAATACCAAGAGAAAATCATGAGGTATAAAATTATGATGAGGCAGACAACATTCATAAATATTGAGAAACAGATTCACAATAATTCATAAACAGAAAATGTAGAGCATGTAGAAGAAAGAAAAGTCTGCTTTATTGGAAGCTACAAAATAAATAATAATCTCTAATATTCCATAAACCTATACTTTCTAGAGAGGAAATATTGAAGAATAAATAAATGAGAGCTGGCTCTGGGAACAAGGTACTCTTTTAAATGGGTGAGCTTCCTGATTTACAGTTGAAATGGTGG
The DNA here is from genome assembly GCF_000001405.40 of Homo sapiens. Taxonomy (NCBI): domain Eukaryota; kingdom Metazoa; phylum Chordata; class Mammalia; order Primates; family Hominidae; genus Homo; species Homo sapiens. The sequence continues at coordinate 94,533,391 of NC_000006.12, forward strand.
CTGAATGCAGACTTGGAGAACTATCATACTCAGCATGTATGCTGGTTCCCCTAAAGTATGATCTTAGAATATTCTGAGAGTAAACAGATTTAGCAAATGCTCCAATCATAGCAAAGACACAGAGATACAGAGACAGAGACAGAGAAAAGTAAATGACAGGAAGTTGGGAAAGATCTTTGGCAGGAATCTGGATGACAGGGTGCCAGGGTAATTTTTCCATTGTTTTTTCAGACATTTTTTATCCTATATGAAATAAAAGAGTTATAAGAAACTGAACTTTTGTCTGTGAAAATTGTTTAAAGCAAAAGTTTCTGATTTTCAAAGTATATGTCATGATCATAGAGAAACAACCTAGGGTTGATGATTGATTGTGTGAACCCCAAATATCTGAGACAGGCCTCTGTCAATTTACAAAGTTTATCTTGCCAAAGTTAAGGACGCACCCATGACACAGCCTCAGGAGGCCCTGAAGACATGTGTCCAAGATAATTGGGTACCACTTGCTTTTATACATTTTAGGGATGCATGTGACATCAAATAACAGGTATAAGATGTACATTGTTTTGGTCCAGTAAGGAGGGACAACTTGAAGTGGGGGCTTGCAGGTTAGAAGTAGATAAGAAACAAAAGATTGCATTCTTTTGAGTCCTTGATCAGCCTTCCACTGAATATACAATTTAGTCTTAGGGATGCATGTGACATCAAATAACATGTGTAAGATGTACATTGTTTTAGTCCAGTAAGGAGGGACAACTTGAAGTGGGGACTTGCAGGTTAGAAGTAGATAAGGAACAAAAGGTTGCATTCTTTTGAGTCCTTGATCAGCCTTCCACTGAATATACAATTTAGTCTTCCTCAGTGAATCTGCATTTTTTTTTTTTTTTGAGACAGTGTCTTACTCTGTCGCGCAGGCTGGAGTGCAGTGGCATGTTCTCGGCATACTACAAGCTCCACCTCCAGGGTGCAAGAGATTCTCCTGCTTCAGACTCCTGAGTAGCTGGGATTACAGGCACACACCACCACGTTTGGCTAATTTTTATATTTTTAGTAGAGACAGGGTTTCACCATGTTGGTCAGGCTGGTCTCGAACTTCTGACCTTGTGATCCAGTCGCCTTGGCCTCACAACATGCTGGGAATACAGGCATGAGCCACTGTGCCCAGCCATGAATCTGCATTTTTACATAAAAGACAGGGCAGAGGAAGCAATCAGATATGCATTTGTCTCAGGTGAGCCTCAGAGGGATGATTGAGTTCTGTCTGTATTTTGTCCACAAGGAATTTCTTGTGGGCAAATTGTGAAGGCGGTGTGTTGCTTCTTAGCTTCGTAGCTATGTTATGAGAGGCAGGTGTGCCCTAAGCAGTTCCCAGCTTGACTTTCCCATTTGGCTTAGTGGTTTTGTGGTTTCAAGATTTATTCTCTTTTCACAATTGATAGATGGGACAGAGAGAGGGAGGGAGCGGGGAGGGGGGGCAGAGAGAGAGAGAGAGATTCATCAATATCCAGTGTCTTAATTCAGAAAATTTAAAAATAAAAGGAGAAGGATAGGAACTGAGAGAAAAGCATCAAGGGAAACTGGAAAGCCCTAACTTTGAATAATATCAGGTAGAACAGGCAAAATATAGCTCTTACCTGCTTCTTCATTTTTATCTCTTCCTACTCTGTTCTTTAGACATACTTCATTTCAGTCCCTCAAAGGCAACAGTTTTTCATGCCTCAGATGCAACAATAAACCTCATCTTACTGGATCACTTTTTACCTCCACTCTTTATAACTACTACCTTAGATTTCTTGCTCTGAGAAGCGACCTAAGGAGTCTAAGTAGACATTTTTACCCTATGCTCCATCACTATCATGTTAGTTTTCATCACAGAAGTTACCATTATTCTTATATAATTATCTATGATTTAAATAATTTGCATTATTCACTAGAAAGCAAGCTCTAAGAAGGCAGGTGTTATGTTTCTTTGGTTCACCATTGCTGATGATGGAAGTACTATAGTACCTAATACATGGTAGGTTTTTATTGAGAAAAGAAAGAAAAAACACTACTTGGTTTGCCAACTAATTTATGAGAAAAAAATGATATTTGCTCAAGTCTGTTTTCTAATCCAAAAAGCACAGTAATAATCTTCAGAATTGAATGAGAATGATAAAATTTTATTGATATGTAATAATTGTACATATCTATGGGATACATTTGTTATACTGATACACGTGTACAAGGTGTGGTGATTAAATCAGAGTAATTGGCATATCCATCACCCCAAATATTTATTATTTATTTGTATTAGAGGCATTCCAAATAATTTTTTCAGCTATTTTGAAATATATAATAAATTATTGTTAACTATAGTGACCTTACAGTGCTAAAGAACATTAAAATGTAATCCTTCTATGTAACTGTATATTTGTGCCTATTGAACAACCTTTCTTCATTTCTCCTAATCTCCCACCCTTTCTAACTTCTGATAACTACCAATTAAGTCTCTACTTCTAATAAATAAACTTTGTCTAACTCCCACATATAAGCGAGAACATGCAATATTGTCTTTCTGTGCCTGGCTTATTTCATGTGACAGAATGTCCTCCAGTTCATATGTTTTTCTGCAAATGGCATGATGTCATTTTTTTTGTGGCTGAATATTATTCCATTGTGTATATGTGCCACATTTTCTTCATTGTTTTATCCACTGATGAACACAGGTTGATTCCTTATTTTGGCTACTATGAATAGTGTGGCAATTACATGGGAGTGCAGATAGCTCTTCTGTATATTGATTTCCTTTCTTTTGACTATAAACCCATCAGACAAATTGCTGAACTGTATGGTAAATCTATTTTTAGTATTTTAATGAAACCACATAGAGGTTTTCAAAGTGGTTATACTGATTTACATTCCCATACACAGCGTACTAGTGTTCCCCTTTCTCTGTATCTTTGCCAACATTTGTTATTTTTTGATTTTTTGATAATAACTATCTAAGCTAAGGTGAGATGATATCACATTGTAGTTTTGATTTGCATTTACTGGATAATTAGGAATGTTGAACATTTTTTTAATGTACCTGTCAGTGATTTGTATGTCTTTGTATTAGTCTGTTCTCACGCTGCTATAAAGAACTGCTTGAGACTGAGTAATTTAAAAAAGAAAAGGGTTTAATTTACTCACAGTTCTACATGGCTGGGGAGGCCTCAGGAAACAAATTCATGGTAGAAGGGGAAGCAAACATCTCCTTCTTCACATGGCAGCAGGAAGGAGAAGTGGCAAGCAAATGGGGACAAGCCCTTTATAAAATCATCAGATTTCGTGAGAATTCACTCACTATACTAGAACAACATGAGAGTAACTGCCCCGATGATTCAATTACCTCCCTTTGGGTCACTCCTATGATACACAGGGATTATGAGAACTACAACTCAAGATGAGATTTGGGTGGACGCACAACCAAACCATATTATTCCACCCCAGCCCCTCCCAAATCTCTTGTCCTCATACTTCAAAACACAATCATGACCTTCCAACAGTCCCACATAGTCTTAACAGATTCCAGCATTAACCCAAAAGTCCATAACCAAAGTCTCATCTGAGACAAGGCAAGTCTGTTCCACTTACGACCCTGTAAAATCAAGAACAATTTAGTTACTTCCTATATGGGGGTACAGGTATTGGGTAAATATACCCATTCGAAATGAGAGAAATTGGCCAAAACAAAGGGCCTACATATCCCATGCAAGTACAAAATCCAATAGGGCAGTCATTAAACCTTAGAGTTCCAAAATGATCTCATTTGACTTCATGCCTCACATGGGCACACTGATACAAGAGGTGAGCTCCCGGGGCCTTGGGCAGCTCCACCCTTGTGTCTTTGCAGGATGTAGCCACCTCCTAGCTGCTTTCACAGGTTGGTGTTTTGTGTCTGTAGCTTTTCCAGGTGCATGGTGCAAGCTGTAGAAGGATCTACTATTCTGGGGCCTGGAGAATGGTGGCCCTCTTCTCATAGCTCCACTAGGCATTGTCTCAGATGGGACACTGTGTGGGGGCTCCAACTCCACATTTCCCTTCTGCACTGCCCTAGCAGAGGTTCTCCATGAGGGCTCCACCCTTGCAGCAGACTGCAGCCTAGACATCCAGGCAATTCCATACATTATCTGAAATCTAGGTGGAGATTCCCAAACCTCAATTCTTGACTTCTGCGCACCAGCAGGCTCAATACCACATAGAAGCTGCCATGGCTTGGGGCTTGCGCCCTCTGAAGCCATGACCTGAGCTGGCCCCTTATATCCACGGCTGGAGCTGAAGCAGCTGGGACACAGGGCAATATATCAGGAGTCAGGAAGCTGCATAGAGCGGGAGAGCCCTGGGCCAAGATCATAAAACCGTTTTTTTTCCATTTGGCCTCTGGGCCTGTGATGGGAGGGGCTTCCCTGAAGGCCTCTGACATGCCCTGAAGACATTTACCCCGCTGTCTTTGTAATTAATATTTGGATCCCCTTTACTTATGCAAATTTCTGCAACTGTCTTGAATTTCTCCCCAGAACATGGGTTTTTTTTTTTTTCCATCCCATCATCTGGCTGCAAATTTTTCAAACTTTTATGCTCTGCTTCCTCTTGAATGCTTTGCTGCTTAAAAATTTACTCCACCAGATACCCTAAATCATCTCTCTCAATTTCAAAGTTCCAAAGATCTCTACAGATGGGGCAAAATGCTGCCACTCTATTGGATAGCAAGAGTGACCTTTACTCTTGTTCCCAAGAAGTTCCTCATCTCTATCTGAAACCACCTCAACCTGGACTTCATTGTCCATATCACTATCAGCATTTTGGTTGACGCCATTAAACGGGTCTCTAGGAAGTTCTAAATGTTTCCACATCTTCCTGTCTTTTGGGCATTCCAAGTCTCTAGGAGGTTTCAAACTTTCCCACATTTTTCTGTCTATTTCTGGGTCCTCCAAACTATTCCAAACTTCTGCCTTTTACTCAGTTCCAAAGTCACTTTCACATTTTTGGTATCCTTGTAGTGGTGCTACACTATCCAGTATCAATTTACTATATTTATCTATTCTCATGCTGCTATAAAGTACTGCCCAAGACTAGATAACTTATAAAGAAAAGAGGTTTAATTAAGGCACAGTTCTGCATGGCTGGGGATGCCTCAGTAAACTAACAAACATGGCGGAAGAGGAAACAAACATGTGGCAGGAAACCAAACCACATGGTGGCAGGAAGGAAAAGTGCTGAGCAAAGCAGGGAAAGCCTCTTGTAAAACCATCAGATCTCATGTGAACTCAGTTACTATCATGAGACCAGCATGATAGTAACTGCCCTAATGATTCAATTACTTCTCACTGAGTTCCTCCCATGACATGTAGGGATGATGGGAGCCACAATTCAAGATGTGATTGGGGTGGGGACACAGCCAGACAATAACAGTCTTCTTTTGGAAAATGTTCATTGTTGAATTTTGCCAAATATTTAAAGAATATATCATACCAATTTTACTCAAACTATTACAAAAAACTGAAGAGGAAACGATACCACCAAACTTACTTTATGAGGCTAGTATTACCAGGATACCAAATCTAGACAAGGACACACACACACACACATGCACGCACACAAACACACAGAAAACTACAGTTCAATATTACTGACAAAGGTAAGCAATAAGCCTCAAAAAATATTAGCAAACCAGATTCAACAACACATTAAAAAGATCATTCATCATCACCAAGTGGGATTTATCAGAAGGATGAATCCACATACTCAAATCAATAAGCATGATACATAATTAAGGGAATCAACAAAAGCGGCATGATTATTTCAATAGATGCAAAGCATTCTATAAAAGTCAACATTTCTTCATGCTAAAAACTCTGAACAATTAGGTATAGGTAAAACACTTCGAAATAATAAAGATTATTTAAAACAAACAGAAGCTCACATTATACCAAATAAGAAAAAATAAATATCTTTTCTCATAATCTGGAATAAGACAAGGGTGCCTACTTTTACCACTTTTATTCAAAATAGTATTGGAATTCCTGGCCAGAGAAATCGGGAAAGAGAAAAAAGTAAAGGGAATCCACACTGGAAAGGAAAAAGTCAAATTATCCTTGTTTGCAGATGACATACTTCTATATTTAGAAAAGCTGAAAGACCATCAAAAAATTGTTAAAACAATCCAGTAAAGTTTCAGAATACAAAATCAACATACAAAAATCACTGGCATTTGTTTACACCAATAGCAAACAATCTGAAAAAAAAAATAAAGAAAGCGTATCTATTTACAATAGCCCCAAAAATACTTTGGAAATAAATTTAACCAAGGAAGTGAGATTTCTATAAGAAAAACTAAAAAACACTAGTGAAAGAAATTGAAGACGACACGAACAAATGTAAAGATATCCCATACTTATAGATTGGAATAATTAATAGTGTTAAAGTGATCATATTACCCAAAGTATCCTTTAGCTTTAGTGTAATCCCAATAAAAATCCCGATGACTCTTCACAGAAATAGAAAAAAATCCATAATTTGCATGGAACCACAAAACACCACAAATAACCAAAGCAATCCTCAGCAAAAGAACAAAGGTGGAGGCATCATACTACCTCAATTCAAAATATACTATAAAGCTACAGTAATCCGAAGTAGCATGGTACCGGCATAAAAATAAATGCATACATCTGAGGTCAGGAGTTTGAGACCAGCCCGGACAATATGATAAAACCCTGTCTCTACTAAACAAACAAACAAACAAACAAACAAAAATTAACCGGGCATGGTGGTGAGTGCCTGTCATCCCAGCTTCTCCGGAGGCTGAGGCTGGGGAATCACTTGAACCCCGGAGGCAGAGGTTGCAGTGATCATACCATTGCACTCCAGCCTGGGCAACAAGAGTGAAACTCTGTCTCAATAAATAAATAAATAAATAAATAAATAAATAAATAAACAAACAAACCAACCAACAAAACAGAATAGAAAACCCAGAAAAAAATCCATGGATTTACAGCCAACTCAATTTTGACAAAGGCACCAAGAGCATGTATAAGAACATAAATAGTTTATTTAATAAATTGTGCCAGGAAAACTTGATATTCATATGCAGAAGAATGAAACCAGACCCATATTTCTTACCACATATAAAAATTAAATCAAAATGAATTAAGAATTTAAATATAAGTTGTAGAACTATGAAATGACTAGAAGTAAACATTAAAGAAATACTTCAGGATATTAATCTGGACAAAGATTTTATGGATAAACCCTCAAAAGCAAAGGCAACAAAATCAAAAGTAGATAAATGGGATTGCATCAAGCTAAAAACCTTCTGCACAGCAAAGGAAACAGTCAATAGAGTGAAGAGCCAATCTACAAAATGGGAGAAAATATTTGCAAACTATCCACCTGCTGAGGGATTAATAATCAGAATATATACAGAATCAATGAAGTCAATTGCAAAAAAGCAAATAATCTAATTAAGAAATGAATGATAATATAAATTTAACCATGAAAAGACCATTAAGCATAGAAGAATGATATTCACAATTGGAATATTTTGATAAGAAAGCATTATTTACTCAGAAAAATGACTAGAACAATCTAAAGGCTTCTATAATCACATATTTTCTATATGCTGTAGGGGAAGCAAAATATTATTTAAGTGTATAGGATATTAGTTTAAGAAATTATGAGCATTAGGCTGTATGAAGTAAGGCCTTATTTTAAGGAGTAAGAAGATGTGATCATTTTCGTCTGCCTTCATTTAATCATATTTTTGAGTGTGTGATTTATGTGCCTGCATTTACAGAAGCAAATATAGGAAAACAACATTATAAAGGAATTCAGAGTTGTGTCATCTGATAAATGTCATCTCCATTGTGCGAGGTGTTAGGATGGTCACGTTCATTTCTGTATCATAAGTCTTGAACTCATGTCTTATTCATACTGGATACAAAATAAATATGTGTAAACTGAGTAAAATGATGAAAAAAAATAAAGGTGAACATAGCAGCTGTATTCACATATTTGATGAAATACTGAAGAACTAGACTGCCTTGAAATTATGCAACCGATAGGATTTTGACCAAAGGATTGACAACCAGAAACAACCATGTTTTCATTAATGAAGTAGGTCATCCCAGTACTATGCTGTTTTAGTTACTGCAGCCTTGCAGTATAAAGTGGGGGAGTTTGATGCCTCCAGCTTTGTTCATTTTTGCTTAGGATTGCTTTGACATTTGAACTCTGTTTGGTTCCAGATATATTTAAATTTTTTTTTCTTTTTTTTTTTTTTTCTAATTATGTGAAAAACTTTGTTGGTACACACACACACACACAAAAGATGCATTGACAAATGGAACAAGTTAGAGAACCAACAAATAAAACCACACACCTACAACCATCCGATCTTTGACAAAGGCAATATAAACAAGTAATGGGGAAAGAACTCCCTATTCAATAAATAGTACTGGAATAACTGGCTAGCCATATACAGAATGTTGACACGGTACCCCTATCTTTTACTGTGTACAAAACTAAGCAAGAATCAACAAGCAAGAACAAACAGCCCCATTAAAAATGGGTAAAGGGCATGAATAGAAAATTCTCAATAGAAGATATAAACATGGCTAACAAGCATATAAAATCCTTAATATCAGTAATCATTAGGGAAACGCAAATCAAAACCACAATGAGATAAAATCTCACACCAGTCAGAATGGCTATTGTTAAAAAGTCAAAAAGTAACAGACGGCAGCAAGGCTGCAGAGAAAACAGAATGCTTAATGCTTATACACTACTGGTGGAAATGTAAACTAGTTCAGCCATTGTAGAAAGCAGTCTGGACATTTTTCAAAGAATTTAAAAGAATAGAACTACCATTCGGCCCAGTAATCCCATTACTGGGTATATACCCAAAGGAATATAAATTGTTCCACCATAAAGACACATGCACTGATATATTCATTGCACCATTTACAATAGCAAACTCATGGAAACAACCTAAAGACCCACCATCAGTGGAATGGATAAAGAAAATGTGGTACATATGTACAATGGAATACTATGCAGCTATAAAAATGACATCATGGCCTTTGCAACATCATGGATGGAGCTATAAGCCATTATTCTAAGTAAACTAACACAGGAACAGAAAAGCAAATACTGAACGTTCTCACTTATAAGTAGGAGCTAAACACTGAGTCCATGTGAACACAAAGAAGGGGAGAGTAGACAATGGGTCCTATTTAAAGGTGGAGGGTGGGAAAAGAGTGAGAACTGAGAAACTACCTACTGGGCTTTATACTGATTATGTTGGTGACAAAATTATCTGTACACTAAAACCCAGGGACATGCAATTTACCTAGTTAACAAACCTGCAAAAGTACTTTCTGAACCTAAAATAAAAGTTGGAAAGAAAGAAAGAAGTGGATTATCCTTTTCTTTAGTTGATTAAGGGTAGTTTTCAAGACTTATTGTTTTTGTTGCTACAGAAAGCATTCAAAATATAGTCAGTGGTAAAGGGTATTTAAAAAGATTATTTTAGAGTTTTGTTAAGCCTGTTAGATCTGTAAGTGTATGTTATTTTTTCTCTCAGTTTTCTAATTGTGCAAGTATCAATAAAATCCTGCTAGCAAAATTAACTGGAATTTTAAGTGTGCTAAAATTTTGCATAATGATAATCGAAAACTGCCAGCTATTTCATTTTAAATGTCAGAGAATTTGAAGCTGAAAATAACATTAAAGTGACCACAAAACAGTTCATTCATACAAATTAATAAAACTCATTTACTACATTCATTAACTGTAATTAAGAAAGCTCACGAAATAACATTAGGAATAACATAGTTAAATTATGAAGTGCGCTGATACACTACTTAATCTGAAAAGTAAGTATTAAACTATTCCTATTTTCCTGTATGAAGGATTTATGTACCTCTGGCATCACTCTCTCTAGTTGCTATTACTGACTGCTTGTATTTATGAGAGCAATATTTAATTGTTAGAAAGATTCCCCCCCCATCATTGAACAGATTCAGCTTACTACTATTTAATAGTGTTATGTTTACCTTGGGCTATTTTGTGACTTTTAACTTCTTTTTAGCAGGAGATGGTATTTATATGGAGACAATAATAACAACAAGAAGAGGGGCAGAGATCTGGAGAAAGATCCCTACATGCAAAGAAACTTGCTAATATGAAGACTTGGGAAAGTACCTGTCTGATTCCAGGAACCTAACAGACAGTGTGACTAAGGAATTTTAAGTGAGGAGCAAAGGGACAAAAAATATCACAGGAGAGCAGTGAAGAGGCCTTTAGGCTAAAAGTAGTAAGAAAATATCATAGAGTATATAGCAGGGAATTGATATAATCTGCATTCTGATTTTGAAATCACACTGTGGCTGCTTTGCGGAGGATGGATAACAAAGAAACAAGCATGAGAAGCAGATAGAGTTTATTCCATTATATTAGGGAATGGATGTAAATGGCTTAGAATAGACTATTTATGGTGAGAATAGAATATGAAAGATTCTATATACATATATAATTTGGAGACTATACATCCTCATGAGGTATTTGATTTGGAAAAGCAGGAAATATAACAGAAACCAATGATAACTAATAGGGTTTGACTTGCTCAACTGGACCAATCACTGTCATTTACAGAGATGAGAAATACTGGGAGAGAGACAGATTTAGAATAATGGAGTGAGATGGAAGTCAAGCGTCTGTTTCTGATGCGTCTTAGTCCATTTTCTGTTGCTATAACTAAATACCTGAAACTGGGTAATTTATAAAGAAATAATTTAACTTAGCTCATGATTCTGGAGGCTGGAAAGTCCATGATTGAGCAGGCACATCTGGTCACCTTCTGGTGAGGGCCTCGTGCCTTATTCCAACATGCTGGAGAAGCAAAAGAGTAAGTGGGAACCTGCAAAGAGACCAATCATGTGAGGCAGCCTCACTTTATAACAACCTTCTCTCTAAAGAATTCATCCAGTCCTGCAAAACTGAGAACCTACTCCTGAAAGACATTAATCCCCCCTTAAGAACCTAATCACCTCTTAAAGGCATCACCTTCCAATAACACCACATTGGGGACCAAGACTCAACATTAGTTTGATGGGCAAAAAATATATTCAAGCCTAACAGTGTTATTTATTTTATTTTTTTTTGAGATTAAGTCTTGCTCTGTCGCCCAGGCTGGAGTGCAGTGGTGTGATCTCGGCTCACTGCAACCTCTGCCTCCTGGGTTCAAGTGAATCTCCTGCCTCAGCCTCCCAAGTAGCTGAGATAACAGATGCCCACCATTATACCCAGTTAATTTTTGTATTTTTAGTAGAGATGGGGGTTTCACCATGTTGGCCAGGCTGGTCTCAAACTCCTGACCTCAGGTGATCCACCTGGCTCGACCTCCCAAAGTGCTGGGATTACAGACGTGAGGCACCGCGCCCAGCCAACAGTGTTAGGTTTTTATGCTTATTAGACATCAAGGTATAAATGTCATGCAGTTGAATATACAAGTCTGGAGTGTAAGTAACAGTTTACAAATCTGTCAAATACTCACCTCTGCCTGGAGGGCTTGCTAGAATTCTTTCTGATATTTTTCCAAAATCACAGTCCCCAAATTTCTGATAATTTTTTAAATAAATTATATTATTATTCTTCAATGTAATATTTCTTCATATAAAAAGAGACATTTTATGGCTGATTTTTATTTGTCATGTAAAGTCCATGGAAACAGAAGTTTCTAAAATTCAGAGGGCAATAATAAAAATAAAACCGAGGTTGTGCACTAGTATTTTGAGTCAGAGTTTTACTTTTGTCCCCTTCCACTTCCCCATATATCCTGAGAAATTAATTCTGACTCTTGGTATGAATCCTGAATTATATGGTCAAAACAGTGAAGGTTCTTTAAATGCATTTTATTCTTGACATCTATAGATTTTTAAATTTCTCTTTCCAAAAATATTCTTCCTTCGCTTATTTTCTCTCTTATTTTTATCATAACTTTACAAAAAAAATTCTTCATGAAACATTCTTGTTTTTATAACTCTATGCTCCTTTCTGTTTCTACTTACATAAGTGGAAAAAATAGTAGCTTACTTACCATCTCCCTCTAGCATCTTACCTCCATATGGCTCAGAAGTATGATCCTTGTTCCTGACTTCATACCATTGAACAGCCTAGACTGATTTCTGCCCTCAACTCGAACTTATAGATTGTATGTCTACTATGTTAATTTGCTACTCTCCTTGAAACTCCATTGTTCCAAGCCCTTCCCTGTTCTGTTTTCAAGGAGTTTTGGCCCTACACACGTATCACCCAATATCACTTGAATTTTAGCCTCTGATTGGGTTTGGCCAGTAGTATCACAGAAAATTAGAGGGCTGGCTGGAACAGAGAAAGATCAAGGTATTCATCACTCCTAACAAACCCCTGTCCTTGCCTTGCTTCAATCTGGGGCAATGACTATATTCTATGGTTGCAATTCTTGCTAGGCAGCTTTATTTCTAAAGCTTCAAACTCTCTGAGGCTTCAGTAATATTTTTCTCACTTCTTGCTCAGGCAATCTGTCACTAATGCTACAGTATACAATCAGACGTTTCTGTGTCTCTTCATCTTGGCCATACCTGTGTAATGAGTCCTTTTTTCAAAATCTTTTAAATTAAAAACTGAATTTCATGATAGTACTCTGAGTGTTACCCTACTGTGTATAAAGCAGTGGTGTAAGCATTGCAATCATCAGTACATCCAAGGACAAATTAATTCTGCCCAGTTTTGCCATCATGTAAAACCTTTTATTTAGCTGTGTACAGATGTGGTCTTGGTGGTTCAGCTCAGTCAGTGTCACAGTTTTAAAAAGCACATAGAAATAAGAAGCAATTTACTTTGCTGTTACAACGCTCCACTGCCACTTGGAAAGGGGAAATGTGCTAAACACAGAATGCTATCTTTCATTGTTCTCTTCTGAAAGAATGTTTCCATAATTCTTCAGAAATCAAAATATGTGTCTGTTGAATTAATGTCAGGATTGAGTGGTAGCGATTCACTTCCTCCTACACAATTTCAGAGAAGATTGTTTAAAAAAATTGCTTTCACAAAAGTACTTTTGATTTACAGCACAAATGTCAGGCAAAAAAAGTTACAAAAATATATTTATATCAAACAAGTAAATTTTAGAATGCTGCTGTAATTTCTTTTCTAAACTAGTCCTGGATTTTGGTAGATATAAAAGGCCACAGTATCAGTTACAAAAAAATGCACACACATACACACACACTCATATATACATATATGTATACACAGAAAAACACACACTTATATAGGCATATACATTATCATTTATACACATTTTATGAATTTTGCATTATAAACATATTTTTATTTCTGACCAATAATCGGAGAACACATACAGAAATTCTTTAGAAAAATATGCATCCGTTACACTCTTTGCTTAATTGGTACAAGTAGTAGGAAGGAACATGCATATTGACAGCTTTTATGTGAATATTCACATCTGTCAGTGTCATCTACAGAAACAGAAGCAGTAGGAGAGAGATGATAGATTGATAGATACATAGGTAGATAGATTGATTTCTGGGAATCTGCTATGTGCTCATATGAGGTGGTAAGTCTAGTCTAAAATCTGTTGGGCAGGTTGGGATGCTGGGATTGTCCAGCAGTAGCTAATGCTGGAGTCCTGAGATAAAATTACTTCTTCCTCTAGAAAAGCTCAGGCCTTTCAATTGATTGGATGAGGCTTGACCACATTATCAAGGAAAATCTCCTTTACTTAGTGTCAACTAAATGTAGATGTTAATCATATCTACAAAATCCCTTCACAGTGACACCTAGATTAGTGTTTTATTGAATAACTTGATACTATACTCCAGCTAAGTTGATATATAACTATCACAGAGAGTAAAAAGTCTGATGTCATAGTGACTGATATCTGAATAGTAATTTAAAATAAAACAAAATTACTTTAAAACCCATTATTAGAACTGATCATGTGCAATGGGGTTGTGACAGAGGTATTAATGTTATTAGACCAATTTTTCACTTGAGGCATATGAACCCAAAGTAGTGTATACAAAGTACCGTGAAAGACAACCTATGGGAAAAAAGATTTAAATATTAGAAATGTCTCAGAGAAATCCTTAAGGAGAGAGAAACAATAAGAAGATGTTTTTATATTATAGCAACTTATTTGCAAGTATTTTGAAGAAATCAGCAAGGCTGATAGGATTGGCTCTCATGTCAAAATAAATTTTAAAAACTCATTCATTCATTCATTCATTTTATTTGGCCTTTCTCATCTCATTTTTTTCATGTGTATAATGCGTATAAAAGTCAAGTTAACTTGTACAGCTGTTAAGAGGAATATTAAGGAATTCTATGTGGCATGCTAAGTACAGAGCTGTATATATTTTAAGTACATAATATTTGTCAATGTACTTACTCTTTATGTAGCAATCTGCAAGATGTATTCTTTGTTAGGTATGTCCCTTCTGTAGAGAGTGAATTTTGTTAGCAAGTAATATTTAGAATACTTTCAAACTGCTAGTTACATATCACTTCCTAAATTGCCTTTTAACTTGAGGTGACACAGTAACCCCCTTGCATCAAGGAAATTTTCTATGCTTAAAGCTTAAGCACAATATTAAGCACAAGTTATCTGTTTCTAGTGTCAATTCTCAATCCCTAATGAATAAGTGATTGGGAGAATTCTTTGCCAGAATTTGTTAAGGAGAATATATCTACCGAGTTCCAGAATTTATACAATTCTTTTTTCTGAATTAACTGATCCTCTTGTTTTTATTTAGATAATTTAGGATTCACATTGTTCCACTGAATGGTCAATTTCTTGCTTCATATCTTTTAACATCCAATGCAGAAAATCATTTTTTTTTTTTTAGTCAATGGTATTTCTTAACATTAACTGCTTCGTAGACTTCCGCAGTGCTGAAATACAGGAAAGAATGGAATTTCCCTTAATTCATTGTTAAATGCTGTCTTCCGCTATTTATTGTCCCAGAAATGACTTGTCTCTGAGATTTTTCATGGTCTTTCAGCATTCGTCTCTAACTCTGAAAAGAAACTACAGTTATTCCCAATTATCATCTCTGGTCAAGGTTTAAAGCAGACCTCATGAAAACTTACATTAACCTTTGTACTGAGTAAAAACCAAATGAAAATAATGGTTATTTTTTCTTTGACCTTTTCTTGGTCCCTTGCCATAGAGTCAAAATATAATACTTTAAAAATATAAAAGAAATATGTACCTGAAGTACATTAAAAGGACAATAAAGAAAAATATAAGACATAAAGTAAAATTTTAAGAAATAGATTCTTAAAAAATAAGAAAATAAAAGTTTGGGGACAAACTAGGAAAAATTGTCTATTACATATGATGGATACATTATTTATATTTTTAGCATTGACAAAATACAAAATGACATATATTGTCAAAAACAATGAGAAACTCCTGAAAACATAATTTGGCAAAATTTTTAAATAAACATTCTGCACAAGAAAAATATCAGTGTTTAATAATAAACACATAAAAATATCTACACTTAATTGTAGTAACAAATATGAAATTAAGTAATATAAAAATACCATGCTTTGCCTATTAAATTGGTAAGATTTAAATCTGCGTGTTTATGTATTCAGGTATCCATCTGTCTGCCAGTGTGAGTAAGAGCCTGGTAAGGAGACATTATGTGACACTGTTGATAGTAGTATGAAGTGGCACAAACTTCTAGAAAGCAAGAGGAAAAAGAAATGAAAATATCTAAAAATAATGTATACTCTTTACACAGAAAATCCTCTTGTAGGAATTTATAATTCTGCTGGGTGTTAATATATGTGTCCCCGCCAAATTCATATGTTAAAATCCTGACTGTCAAGGTTATGATATTAAGAAGTGGGGCCTTTTGAGAGGTGATTAGGTTATGAGGGCAGAGCTTTCATAAATAGGATTCATGCCCTTTTAAAAGAGGACTCAGAGAGTTAATTTATCCTTCTGCCATGTGAGGACACAGAAGGCATCGTCTATGAGGAAAAGTTCCTCACTAGAAATGGAATCTGCTGGCCCTTTGATCTTGGACTTCCCAGCCTTCAGAATTGTGAGAAATAACTTTCTGTTGGTTAGAAGCTACCTACTCTATAGTATTTCCTTTTGGCAGCCCAAATGAACCAAGGCAAACTGTAAAAAATTTAAAAAAAAAGAAAAAAAACAGTGTATAAGGATATTCATCACAATATGATTTCTAACAATGCAAAATAAGAAAAAAGTCTGTTTCCTCAAATATTAAATTGCCTAAGTAAATGTCATTCTGTATAACTCTTTGAAGTCAAATTGTAGAATACACTATTACATGAGTAGAGGAAGCAAGTTTAGAAAGTAAGCCTAGAAAGCAAGCCCTCAAATCAGAACTTGTAGTGCTTACACCATGTATATTAGGCAAAAATATCAAAAGTGTTTTACTTAGTGATGTGAAAATATGGATGAACTCTTTTTTTGGATTTTATCCAATTTCTTTCGCAGTAAATATGAACTGGTTTCCTATTAAATAATATCAAATTATGAAAACGAATAAAATGTAGAAAATGTGTTGGAAGAACATTTCTATTTTTTAATGTAAAAAAACAAATCCTTAGATCTAATAAATGACAATATGAGAAATGGAGTAAAAAGTATATTTTTTACTTCCTCTAGTAACAGTGATATAGAAAGCAAATCTGCAACGAATTGATCTGTAATTAGGTTTAATTTTGATCTTGATGTAGATTTTAAGAGTTTTTTTTTGGGACCATAAATTGCATTATAAATAACATTTTATATTTATTTAATTATGGCAGGAAGTAGAAAAAAACAGCTAATTATGTAAACAGAAAACATATTTTGTGCAATGCTATGAATCGGGTTATTGAGAGTTGTGTATAGGCAGGCCTGTGGTCCCTTTCAGCATTGTTAACTCTTCATCCATAATTTCTAATGAAGTCTATTGAACTGTACACTGGGGACAATATATCTGTTTAAAAATGAATTTCTGAGCTTCAAGGGTTTCTTTTTGATCTAAAGAAATTGCACACTCCAATTCATTATGCATATTTGACCTAATGCTCATCTATTCTAAATAAAAAAAGGACAGAAGAGCTATGTTTTCTCCTGTTAAATAAAATAAAATTGTCATTGTGAACATTAATAGAAACTTCATGTATTGATCTAATCTTTAGCTAAGTGTTGTGGATGTCTGCTTTTGATTTTGTCACTTGGCTCTAAAGCTTGTCAATATTTTATTGATTGGAAAATGGAAAGTCAATGGTTTTATTCACTATGGCCAATATAAAGTTTAGTATAGCCTCATAATCAGACATAGGAAGAACTAATAGGTATAGAATTATGTTAGAAATTTATTGTTAGACATCATTATTATTTAAAAGAAATTATAGAGAATGACATATATTCAAGCCTCTAAAGACAATTTGCATTTATTTTTTCAGATTAATTGCAGTAATAAGCTGATGAAAATCCTAGTTACCATACTGTGATGGCATATTTTATACCCATGAATCAATATTTGACTTGTTATATAAATATCTTATTACAGTTTCTTTGTATATAGAAAATGAGTAAACTAGTCCAACACCAAAACAAGAAAGGACTATAAAATTATGTCAAGGCAGGCAGGCATGCTTTCTCAGCTGCTGGGTGAAATACTTGTTTCAAGTGAAAAATTCCAACTTTTATTTTACCTTATGCTTTTTAATATATCGTGCTATTTAATCTTCTATCTGGATCAGTGCTTACATGCCCATTTTGAAGGTCTCTTTGCTGTACTAGATGCTCTTCGATTTAAAGGCATTCTTAGGTCATTAGTTTCATAAGTAACATTTTTTCAGGTCACTAGGTTCTCAGAGTCCCTTTTTTATGATATATTTTACTTGATATTTCTGTACATGGTTTCTTGATAGACTCCTCTGGGTAAAAGAGCAAAAGAGAATAAAGGGCAAAATATGTAGGCTGTAACCTAAACAGCATTGCCAGATTGTATTAAACTCTACTTTATTTGAGCAGATAGAGTGCACAGACCAATTTTCTGGTTGTAAAGGGGCATTTTTTAAAGGTGTGCAGCAATGAATGTGTGTGAGTGTGCATGTGTGTGCTATGTGTATATTGATAAATAGACTTAAAATATTTCTTCAATTCTAGTCACAGTTACAAAGAGACAAAATCTGTTGAAAAACACAACACTTTCTGTTGAAAGTGTCATTTCATGTTCTTAACTTTCTCTACCCAGAACGAACTTTGTTTGAATAAAAGGAAGTACATATTATCTTGAATTATAACACTTGTTGATATAAACATAAAATAGGAAGACAGGAAATGGTTTCACTATCTTTTCTGGAGAAGGTGAAATTGTGCATTTAAATCCTTGAGGAACGAACTCTATCTTACATTTGCCTAAATCCTTTGGGATATATGGAAGGCACTATTTGTCTCCTACTTTCCTTACCCTCAAGACATGAAAAGCAAGCACGATTTTGAGAGAACAAATCCACATTGTGGAAACTTAAGAATAACAGTCTGGTATAAAAGAACTAGGGGAAAGCTAAAGTGATAAAAACAACAAAAGTCATTCTGGAAAAGCCAAGGACCAAGTGGCAGGAACACTCCTTTAATGGAGGATAAATTCAGAGACTGTGAGGTAAGAACTTCTGGAGAACAGTCCCGAGTTTTCCTGAGAGAGTCTGAGTGACAACCTGTTAAATATAAGTGGGGAAAGTCCAGGGCAATTGCTGACCAAAGTTGCCACCAAGTGGGGAATATGTGGTTCCAGAGCTTGTGTTTAGATGGTTAAAGGGACCCAGATAGAATGTCATTGATGTTTTACCCAAAATGTAGATTAAAAATATCAACTGAGTAAAAATTAGATTATTTAAGGTAATTTTTTGAGTGGCTTAGCCCTGTCATATTTGTCTCTTATGTGCATAAAATAGGCAAATATTTTGGGGTTCAATTGGGTAGCAGGAAATATTTAAATATGATGATTATAATTCATATCCATGAAATAAATGATAAAGTGTTTTAAAGTATTTGTTTAAGCAGAAACTAAAACCAACTATTTTGTGGGGCATTAAATAAGGAAATAACTGGAATATCTTAGTGTTTTCTTTCAATGCTGAATTGTGTGTGTGTGTGTGTGTGTGTGTGTGTGTGTGTGTGTAGATACAAAGTTTTTAGGGACAGGACTGATGTATGGTGGTGGGATGGCCCTCATTTTGTTAAAATTTAAAACCCTGGACAGTAATCTGCCTGGAAGAAAAGTTGAACTGTCTTTGCTCTAAAGTTTCTTTAAAGCGAAGGGACAAGACATCTAATGAAGCAGTTCTGACTGCTTCAACACATAGATGCATGCTTATAGTAGCTGTTTATTTGCTTGATTATTTAATTTTTTTACTTATACTCACTCCAGTGTGACAGGCACAGTCAGAAGCCAGCCCATACAACGTTGGCATTTCTCATTCCCGTAAATGCTGATGATTTCTTAATGCAACATCTGAAAATTCTTTCTTAAGGATGCTAGGGAGTTAACACCCCAAGTTCAGCTCGCAAGCAAAAATGGGTGGGGATCAATGGATTAATACATTCATTTTCTCTGCCCTGTGGTGGGAAAGTCTGAGCAGGATTTATACGGTCTCCAAGAGATCCACTGATTTACCCACCAGTGGCCCCAATACTAACGCTCACATTAATGTGTCTTTGGTTGTTTTTTTTCCTGTCCAAGTCTCACTTTTATTCCTTTTCCAGTGTTTCTTTGAACTATCTCTCATAACAACCAAACCTAAGACAATCTCTGTTTTTATATAAGTTTTCATGATAGCTTACAAGAATACAAATGATTTAATAAAATAGAGAGGAGAAATATCAAGTTCCTAAATTATATAATGTAACATAAGCTTAAAAAATTTAAAAGCAGGTATTGAAGTCACTTATGATTAAGAAAAAAATAATGTTATAATTTTATCAGCATATTATTGAAATTACAATACAGTAATATATTTATTAAAAATCATTACCTTGAAATTTGCCCCCCAAATAATTTTCTGAATATCATTATTAGACTTGATTCATTAAATGTTGAAAGCACAAACCAAAATATTTTAGAATTGTTACTATCAGATGATTTTTTTACACAAGAGAAAGTTTCTAATTGTTTGTGAAAGCCAAACTGTCTTATCAATACTTATGGGCCTTATATTTTTATACCTGAGATGGGACAAAATTTGGATAATGAAAAACCATTGCTAGTTGCTAAGATACAAGTTATGTGAAGGGAGATGAGTATATAGCACTTTATATCATTGTGCATGTGTGTTTATTTTGTGTGTGTGTGTGTGTGTGTGTGTACATTACGCATGTAGTCTCTGATTCTCAAATAGTATTAAAATTCAGTATTTTCAACAAGATGGAATACATGAACTTTTCTCTATTTCTCCCTTCAAGTGTTTCATGCGCGTCCGTGTGAAGAGACCACCAAACAGGCTTTGTGTGAGCAACATGGCTGTTTATTTCTCCTGGGTGCAGGTGGGGTGAGTCCGAAAAGAGAGTCAGCGAAGGGAGATAGGGGTGGGGCCGTTTTATAAGATTTGGGAAGGTAATGGAAAATTACAGTCAAAGGGGGTTGTTCTCTGGTGGGCAGGGGTGGGGGTCACAAGGTGCTCAGTGGGGGTGCTTTCTGAGCCAGGATGAGCCAGGAAAAGGACTTTCACAAGGTAATGTCATCAGTTAAGGCAAGGACCGGCCATTTACACTTCTTTTGTGGTAGAATGTCATCAGTTAAGGTGGGGCAGGGCATATTCACTTCTTTTGTGAGTCTTCAGTTACTTCAGGCCATCTGGGCATATACGGGCAAGTCACAGGGGATGCGATGGCTTGGGTTGGGCTCAGAGGCCTAACATTCCTGCCTTCTTATATTAATAAGAAAAATAAAACAAAACAGTGTCGAAGTGTTGGGGTGGCGAAAATTTTTGGGGGGTGGTATGGAGAGAGAATGGGCGATGTTTCTCAGGGCTGCTTCAAGCGGGATTAGGGGCGGCGTGGGAACCTAGAGTGGGAGAGATTAAGCTGAAGGGAGGTCTTGTGGTAAGGGGTGATATTGTGGGGATGTTAGAAGAAACATTTGTCGTATAGAATGATTGGTGATGGCCTGGATACGGTTTTGTATGAACTGAAAAACTAAATGGAATAACAGAAGGAGAAAAACAGGTATAAAAGATCTAAGAATTGGGACGACTCAGGATATCTGATTAGAGAGTGCTTAAGGAGATTTGGCATAGTCCTGCCAGCAAAGATTATTTATTTACTTCAAGAGTTAAGAGTGGCAGTTTGGGGATAGCACCAGGAGATATCAGCTGTGATGGCTTGGAAAAACAGTGTAAACCGGCAGTGTAAACAAGAGCAGGGCCTGTATGAGTAGTTGAGAACGGTGAATAGGAGTATGACTGGACAGAAAATAGTAGCGATTACAAGTTTTCTTTTGGTGGGGGGGTGCAGTCTAAGTTGGTCTGGTGTCTGGAATGAGACTGGGGCCTAATAAAAAGGAGCGTCTATACAGGAGCTTAAATGGGCTGTACCTTGTAGCATTCCGAGGACAGGCCTGAATTCTGAGAAGCGAAAGTGGTAAAAGTATTGTCCAGTCCTTTTTAAGTTGGTGGCTGAGCTTGGTGAGGTGTGTTTTTAAAAGACCTTTCGTCCGTTCCACTTTTCTTGAAGACGGAGGACCGTAAGGGATATAAAGGTTTCACTGAATATTAAAAGCCTGAAAAACTGCTTGGCTGATTTGACTAATAAAGGCTGGTCTGTTACCAGACTGTATAGAGGTGGGAAGGCTAAACTGAGGAATTATGTCTGACAGAAGGGAAGAAATGACTGCGGTGGCCTTCTCAGACCCTGTAGGAAAGGCCTTTACTTATTCAGTGAAAGTGTCTATTTAGACTAAGAGGTATTTTAGTTTCCTGACTTGGGACATGTTGAGTAAAGCTAATTTGCCAGTCCTGGGTGGGGGCAAATCCTCGAGCTTGATGTGTAGGGAAGGGAGGGGGGCCTGAATAATCCCTGAGGAGTAGTAGAATAGCAAATGGAACACTGAGAAGTTATTTCCTTGAGGATAGATTTCCAGGATGGAAAGGAAATGAGAGGTTCTGAGAGGCGGGCTAGTGGCTTGTACTATAGCATAGCCTGCCTTTGCTGGTGTGTGGCGATTAGGCCTGGTGGAACTGCCATCAATAAATCAAGCGTGATCAGGGTGAGGAACAGGAAAGAAGGAAATATGGGGAAATGAGGTGAATATCAGGTGGATCAGAGAGATACAGTCATGGCGGTCAGGTGTGGTATCAGGAATAATGTGGGAGGCCGGATTGAAGTCCAGGCCAGGAACAATGGTAATTGTGGGACTTAAAGAGTGAGTACAGCTGAAGGAGCCGGGGAGCAGAAAGTATATCCATCAGGTATGAGGAAGAAAACAGATTTTGGAAGTTATGAGAAATGTAGAGAGTGAGTTGAGCATAGTTTGTGATTTTTAGGGCCTCTAACAGTATTAAAGCAGCAGCAGCCACTGCACACAGACATGAGGGCTAGGCTAAAACCGTAAGGTCAAGTTGTTTGGACAGAAAGGCTACACGGTGTGGTCCCAGCTCTTGCGTAAGAATTCTGACTGCGCTAACCATGCCTAGGAAGGAAAGGAGTTGTTGTTTTGTAGAAGGTGCTGGGGTTGGAGAGATCAGTTGGACACGATTGGCAGGGAGAGCACGTGTGTTTTTATGAGAATTATGCTGAGATAGGTAACAGATGAGGAAGAAATTTGGGCTTGATTGAAGTAATGGGGGCTGCCTGTGAAGCTTTGTGGCAGTACAGCCTAGGTAATTTGCTGAGCTTGATGGGTGTCAGGGTCAGTCCAAGTGAAAGTGAAGAGAGGCTGGGATTAAGGGTGCAAAGGAATAGTAAAGAAAGCATGTTTGAGATCTAGAACAGAATAATGGGTTGTAGAGGCAGGTATTGAGGAAAGGAGAGTATATGGGTTTGGCACCACGGGGTGGATAGGCAAAACAATTTGGTTGATAAGGCGCAGATCCTGAACTAACTTGTAAGGCTTGTCTGGTTTTAGGACAGGTAAAATGGGGGAATTGTAAGGAGAGTTTATAGGCTTTAAAAGGCCATGCTGTAGCAGGCGAGTGATAACAGGCTTTAATCTTTTTAAAGTGTGCTGTGGGATGGGATATTGGTGTTGAGTGGGGTAAGGGTGATTAGGTTTTAATGAGATGATAAGGGGTGCATGATCGGTTGCCAAGGAGGGAGTAGAGGTATCTTATACTTGTGGGTTAAGGTGGGGGGATACAAGAGGAGGACGCAAAGGAGGCTTTGGATTGGGAAGAAGGGCGGCAACGAGATATAGCTGTAGTTCAGGAATAGTCAGGGAAGCAGATAATTTAGTTAAAGTGTCTCAGCCTAATAAGGGAACTGGGCTGGTGGGGATAACTAAAAAGGAGTGCTTAAAAGAGTATTGTCTAAGTTGGCACCAGAGTTGGGGAGTTTTAAGAGGTTTAGAAGCCTGGCCGTCAATACCCACAACAGTTATGGAGGCAAGGGAAACAGGCCCTTGAAAAGAAGGTAATGTGGAGTGGGTAGCCTCCGTATTGATTAAGAAGGGGACGGGCTTACCTTCCACTGTGAGAGTTACCCGAAGCTCGGCGTCCGTGATGGTCTAGGGGGCTTCCGAGGTGATCGGGCAGTGTCAGTCTTCAGCCGCTAAGCTGAGAAAATCTGGGAAGGAGTCAGTCAGACAGCCTTGGGCCAGAGTTCCAGGGGCTCTGGGAGTGGCTGCCAGGTGAGTTGAACAGTCCGATTTTCAGTGGGGTCCCACACAGATGGGACGCGGCTTAGGAGGACTCCCGGGCTGCGGGCATTCCTTGGCCCAGTGGCCAGATTTCCAGCAAGTGTAGCAAGCTCCTGCGGGAGGAGGTTCTGGAGCAACGCCTGGCCGCTGCGGTTCAGGAGTTTGGAAGTTCTTGTGTGCTGGAGATGTGGCTGGGGGGTTTGTCTCACAGTGGAGGCAAGGAATTGCAAGTTTTTTCTGTTATTGTACACCTTGAAGGCGAGGTTAATTAAATCCTGTTGTGGGGTTTGAGGGCTGGAATTTAATTTTTGGAGTTTTATTTAATGTTGGGAGCAGATTGGGTAATAAAATGTATATTGAGAATAAGACGGCCTTTTGACTTTTTAGGGTCTAGGGCTGTAAAGTGTCTCAGGGTTGCTGCCAAACAAGTCATGAACTGGGCTGGATTTTTATATTTGATGAAAAAGAGCCTAAACGCTATCTGATTTGGGATAAAGAAAAAGGAGCATTAACCTTGACTATGCCTTTGGCTCCAGCCACCTTTTTAAGAGTGAATTGCTGGGCGGAGGGGGAGGGCTAGTCACGGAACGAAACTGTAAGCCGGACCAGGTGTGAGGAGGAGAGGTGATAAAAGGATTATAGGGTGGAGGAGCAGAGGCTGAGGAAGAATTGGGACCTAGTTCAGCCTGGCGAGGAGGGGAGAGGTCAGATGGGTCTGTAGAAAAGGAAGATTAGAAAGACTCAGCGACACTTGGGGTTGGTACTGAGGGAACAGGCGGGAGGGAAAGAAGGAAGATTTGGGACGAGTTGCACTGGGCACAGAGACTAGGAAGGGACTGATGTGTAAAAGAATGCCTGGACGTCAGGCACCTCAGACCGTTTGCCTATTTTACGACAAGAATTATTTAGATTTTGCAGGATGGAAAAATTCAAAGTGCCATTTTCTGGCTATTTGGAACTTCTGTCCAGTTTGTATTGGGGTCAAGCAGCATTGCAGAAGAAAATAAGGCATTTAGGTTTTAGGTCAGGTGTGAGTTGAAGAGGTTTTAAGTTTTTGAGAACACAGGCTAAGGGAGAAGGAGGAGGAATGGAAGGTGGAAGCTTACCCATAGTGAAGGAGGCAAGCCCAGAGAAAAGAGTAGAGACACGGAGAAGGGGTGGGGGGTTCTTGCCCTCCAGAAAAGCAGAGAAGGGGTTGGGGCACGGAAATAAGGGATTGGGGCACAGAGATAAGAGGTCAGGGTGTGGAAGTAAGCGATTGGGGGGTTCTTGCCCCCTAGGAAAGCGGGACTTGCCACTGGGGTGAAGGAGAAGGGGTAGAGACAAGGAGAGAAGGGGTTGAGGGGTACTTGCCCCTTCCCCAGAAAAGCGGGACTTGCGGCTAAGGGTGAAGGACCAAGGCTGGCATCCCTGTGTGGTCTGACACCCTTGAAACGTGAGTGTATAATCAGAGAGCAATCCCTGCAGTGATTAAACACCAAGGGAAGGCTGCCTTCCCAGTCCGTGACCGGCGCCGGAGTTTTGGGTCCACGGATAAAACGTGTCTCCTTTGTCTCTACCAAAGGAATTGAAAGGAATTGAAATTAAGAGAAGGGAGAGATTGAAGTGTGGCGTCAAGATTGAAAGGAGAAAGAGGTTGAGGGATAGTGAGGAAGGTTGGAGAAGGGAGTAAAAAGAGGCCGCTTACCGGATTTGAAATTGGTGAGATGTTTCTTGGGCTGGTTGGTCTGAGGACCTGAGGTCGTATGTGGATCTTTCTCGAGGTCGTATGTGGATCTTTCTCATGGAGCAAAGAACAGGAGGACAGGGGATTGATCTCCCAAGGGAGGTCCCCCGATCCGAGTCAAGGCACCAAATTTCATGCGTGTCCGTGTGAGGAGACCACCAAACAGGCTTTGTGTAAGCAACATGGCTGTTTATTTCACCTGGGTGCAGGCGGGCTGAGTCCAAAAAGAGAGTCAGCGAAGGGAGATAGGGGTGGGGCCGTTTTATAGGATTTGGGAAGGTAATGGAAAATTACAGTCAAAGGGGGTTATTCTCTGGTGGGCAGGGGTGGGGGTCACAAGGTGCTCAGTGGGGGTGCTTTTTGAGCCAGGATGAGCCAGGAAAAGGACTTTCACAAGGTAATGTCATCAGTTAAGGCAAGGACTAGCCATTTACACTTCTTTTGTGGTGGAATGTCATCAGTTAAGGTGGGGCAGGGCATATTCACTTCTTTTGTGAGTCTTCAGTTACTTCAGGCCATCTGGGCGTATAGGTGCAAGTCACAGGGGATGCGATGGCTTGGCTTGGGCTCAGAGGCCTGACAAAGTGTAGCTGAAAACCATGGACAAATGTAATTACATAAAATCAACATAAGATAACGAAAATGTGGAGGGAAGAAGGTAGACTGTTGAAGGCCCTTGTGAACAAAGAATGACATGGCAGTGTGTTGTCTAGGTTTTCTTTTTGCTTCATATATGACTGATTGGGAGGTAGAGAAGTTGGGAGTCACAAAACACCAACAGTTAAAGACAGAAAAGCCAAACAAGAGCCTGATCTCTCTAGTTGAAAAGCCAGGGGAAAGACAGCCTAGCAGGAAGGAAAACATCTAAGTAAGAACTGCCCCACTGTCCAGACATTAAGGTGTGGACTCACAATAGCCCTTCCAAGAAAAACCTAACGGGGGGCCTAGTCTTCCACCCTTAGCCAGCTGTAATGAAGCACCCTTGGATTGCCACCAGAAGTATGTCACAACAGGACTGAAGGCAGAATGAAGAACTGCCTTTCACTACATCTGCATGATAATGAGAGGTTTTGTTTTGCCCTCACCCATCTTTAGTCAGTGGAGACCACATAGAGATCTTAAACTACATCCACCCTGATTTAATGAGGGTCCCTTTTGGTTCAACCTGCTAGAAGGTGTCAGAGGAGGCCAACTGGAGAGCCAGGACTTTTCACAGCCCAAAGATAACATGTCTCTCACCTGGGAAAGAAGGAGGGCATGTGGAGCAGTCATAAGGCACCCCTGACTCTCCAGCCAGCCTAGTACTAGGGAAAGCCCAGGGAGAGGTTTCACCACACTCTGCCCTGTAGTAGGGAGGCACCTTCTCACTCCTGGGGTATCAACAGAGGTAGAGTGGAAGACCTGGACTTTTGCCCCATCTGGCAGTAATGAGATAGTACTTTCTCTCCTCTGTGGGCACAGTGTTAGAAAAGGCCTAGTAAAACAGATGATTTAAATATAATTCAGAGTTTCATGACATAAGACTCAAAATGTCTAAGATTTAATACAAAATCACTTGTTAAACCAAGAACATGAAAATCTCAACTGGAATTAGAAAAGTCATTCAACAGAGGCCAACACCCAAATTATACAGATATTGCAATTATATGGCAAGTATATTAAAGCAGCAATCACAAAAATGAGCATACTTGAAACAAATTGAAAAATAGAAATGATTAGTAGAGACATAAATACAAAATGATGGAAATGGAAATGTGTTTCTTGGTTCCATTGAATTGAAGCATATAATAACTGAAAGAAAAAGACATTTTAAGAATGGATTGCTTAATATTAGAATGTTGAAGACAAAGGATAGACTCTGTCAACTTGAAGAGAGAACAATAGAAATAATCCACTTGAGTAACAGGGAAAACAGATTGAAAAAAAAACAAAAAAGAAGAACAGATCCTCAAGAACTGTAAAACTGTAACAAAAGACCTAACTTTCATGTCATCAGTCTCTCTCAGGAGGAGAGGAAGAGGGTGGATCTGAAAAAGTCTTTGGAGAAATAATAGTTATAAAGTCCCCAAATTTTGCAAAATATGTAAATCTGCAGATTCAAGAATTTAAGTGTACCCCAAAGTGCACCCCAAAGAGGACCTTTACTCTCACACAACTATAATGAGGGAAATCAGGACATTATCAGATGATGGAAAACTAAGAATTTGTTGCCAGGAGATCCAGCCTTTCAAAAATTATGAAAGTTAGAAACAGAAAGTAAGTCATAAAAAGAAATATGATGAAAGAAAATACCCACTTTATAAAAGCAAATAAAAAGGTAAAGCACCTCCAGTGACTTCACGCTTTTCAGAATAGAATGCAGTCTTCTTTCTTTAGGCTCCAAGGTCTTAAATGAGTGACCCCTTCCTACCTCTGTGGCCTCAGCTTCTATCATCTTTGCCTTGTCCACTATGCTTAGGGTGTAATGGGGAATCAGAGACTTGGAGAGACCAAGTAACCTACTTCAAGGGCTTACTGGCTATTTTCAGTTTCTAAAATTTGTCAACTCCTGCTGCCACCAGGCTGTTGTGCAGGTTGTTTCTTCTGTCTTGAATCTCCCTCCAGTTCCAACATTTTTTCTCCTCAACCAACCCATGCTCAGCCTCAGACAAAAAGTTTCCAATCTCAAATGCAAGTACCACCTGTAACATTATTTTCCATCACACTCTGTGCTTTTGTCTCTTAAAACATATCACAGGTAATTGTGCATCTGTGTGTTTTGTGTATATTTCTTCTTCTAGACTTCATCCTCCATGACATTAAGAAGCTCCCTCTGCTTTGTGATTGTAAGCCCTGAAACCTTATAAATAGCAGACATTCAATAAACACTTCATGCCTGGAAAAAAAATTTAATGGTAGAATTTAAGTGTTTGGGTATATGGATGTTCCGTAGAAGTTTCTCTCAACTGTTCTATACTTTGCAGTTAATTTAACCACTTGCAAATATTCTTGCAATATAACTTGCAAATATTCACAATAAAATGGGAAAAATGTCAGTATTAAATGAACATTAATACCCCAGAGCCAGCATTGTATGCATTATGATTTAGAGTTAAATTTTCCTGTGAACATTTAAATTTCAATATATATTCAAAGATCAGGAAAGGTTAATAATGTTATAAATAATCTGTTTTTCTTCACAAAATTTTCCACAAGGTGAAAGAGCATCACAATGATCAATTATGGAATTACTATCCATGCATTCCTTTCTTTTCATATTTTTAGACTCTATATGTCAACTCATTGATAGGGCCTATTCTCTGATGGACTATTTGACCATATAATGAAATGGCATTTTAAAAGACATATAGATTAAACTTATCCAATAGAGATATAATGCAAGTCAAATATGTAATTTTATTTTTTAGTAGGCATATTTAAAAGAATAAAAAGAAGAGGTTAAATTAACGTCAATAATCTTTTGCTTAATCAAATATATTTAAAATATAATTATTTTAACATGTAAGCAATGTAAAAATTGTTGATGTGTTATACATAATTTTGTCTTCTAAAGCTTCATAGTTACAGTATGTGTTTTACATGTTCAACACATCTCAACATGTTTCAAATCCAAGACTAGTGAAGCTAGTATAATAAAGATATAGGCAATAGGGCCAGTGCATTTAGGTTAAAACATAACTTATATTCATGAAATGACTAGTGATCATCAATGTATTCAGAGTTCTTCAGTTAAAATAGACATTGAATAATTCTAGTAGCTAAAGTATGCACTGGGTTCAGTTAAATCAAATGAATTGTTTGAAGACGAATCCAGGGCTCCAGACTCATATGACATAATAGGCACCAGGAAATCTGAGGCTTTATTTCAAATGCTATAAACCTACAAGAGCTAAGCATCCTGAACAATATTAGACATCATTGTTTATCTACAGCTTTTCCTGTGTGTGCCAAATCTTGGACATCTATGTTCAAAACCCATTTTTATTGTTGGTTCTAAAAATTAGACCCAAGGCTCTCCAAAATTATTTGATTTATTAGCCTTACTTATGCTTTCGTGGTGCAATAAGAAATTTATAGTAAGTTTAACATTTTATAGGGTCCTAAAAAGCTTCTTCGGTGTTTGATTTCATATCCTGTCAGACCAACCTTGCCAATGGCTCATGTTTGTTTGTTTTGAGTTTTTTTCCTTACCTTATAGTCTGTCAAACTAGAAACTGAGAGGATGAGATTCACATTTTCCCAAACAGGGACCAAGAAGAATTGCCAATTTCACTTCCTGTAGCTTGCCTTTCATCTCCATTACGTAACCTAAATGAGGAAAGTGGTCTCATTATTCTTTTTTAAAAGTGTATTTTTATTGTAAATTGACAAATTAAAGTAGTATATATTGAGTTCTCAAAATCATCGTTCACACAAGTCAGGCTTATAACACAGAACATACAAATTATGGGAAGTGAAGGGCTTGCCCAAAATCTAGAAAATAAAGTATAATTTAACATATCTCCTTGCTTACAAAGATTGGACAGAACTCCCAAAAAGAATAAGCCCAGATCCTTGACAGCCTTATACATCATGGGAAGAGTGTCAGTCCAGGACTTCCAGTTAACAGACACTGGGAAGGAGTTAGAAGTACAGGAGGTTTTGGGGGAAATAACATCTGTAAAATATAACGGAAGGGGAAGTAGGATTGAATATAGGCTGAGGTAGAATGAGAGAGGTAAAAGGTGACATGCTATATTTGTCCAGGAACAACCAGATTAACGGTGGTGCTGCTTGCTGAGTGAGGAAAACTGAGAGGAGTAGGTTTGGGAGGAAAAAAGTCAGCAATGCCATATAAGGAAACTATTAGGTATCTATGGGGAGACATTAAACAGGCAGTTAGGTATTGGAATTTGAATCTCAGAGGAGCAGTCTAGGCTGAATATATATGTGTATATATATATATGAATACATATATATGAATATATATACGAATAAATATATGAATATGCATACACATGCACACATATACACATAATATATTATTTAAATATAATACTCGTATACACATATTTATTATACACATTATATATGTAAACTATGTATTATATGTAACTATGTATATAATTATATGCGAGAACTATGACTTCATATATATGCACATATATATGAATTTCTTTAGGACTGCTTCCCAAACTCAATTATTCTCAGTCTCAACAAATAAATGCGGATTTTCACCTCTGGTCCTACGTTGTTTTATACATATTAAGTTATTCTGTAAAGAAGAAAAAAGTGTACCAACTTCTAAGACCACAGAAATAAAATCATAGTATTTTACCATTTAATCCTTCCCTTATAAAAATGTATCTGCTACTTAGAAAAAGTATTCTACTCTATTAATAAATAATAAATGACACAATAAACATTTGTTTTTGTGACCATTTAAAGAAATATTTTTCTAATTCTTCTCATTTGATGGCAGAAGAGTATTTGAATGAATGTAAAACTGAATGTAGGCTTGTCTCTGGGTTGTGGAAGGATTTATAAATATGCATTTTATAGGGACAGTATTTCTTTCCCCAATGCCATATGTGTTGCAAGAGAGACTCAAAGGGGCTAATCTTTGATGTTGGCCAATGTCCCATCTTTTACGCCAACCGATTTTTGTTGTTTTGTTTTTCCTCCTCTCAGTTATAATTTGGTGGAGGTAAGCACAATTCTAGCTTCATAACCCCATATACTCTTGTTGCTCTGAGGAAATTAACTTTTCATATTAGCAAACATTTTGTGGTTTGTGATATTCTTCAGCTATTTTATATTTTCTTTGACAGATTTTGAATACCAATAACTAAGGTCTTCCCAGATGGCATGTGGAAAACCATAGTCACTCTTGTCACTGCTGTTATTTCCCCTTAGGTGGAAGGGACTTGCCTTGTCTCAGATGAGACTCTGGACTGTGGACTTCTGGGTTAATGCTAGAATGAGTTAAGACTTTGGGGGACTGTTGGGAAGGCATGATTGGTTTTGAAATGTGAGGGCACAGGATTTGAAGAGGCCAGGGGCGAAATGATATGGTTTGGCTGTGTCCCTACCCAAATCTCATCTTGAATTGTACTCCCATAACTCCCATGTGTTGTGTGAGGGGCCCGGTGGAAGATAATTTGAATCATGAGGGAGGTTCCCCCAATACTGTTCTCATGGTAGTGAATAAGTCTCACAGGATCTGAGGGTTTTATCAGATGTTTCCTCTTTTGCATCTTTCTCATTTTTCTCTTGTTGCAACCACGTAAGGAGTGCCTTCCACCTCCTGCCATGATTCTGAGGGGGCCTCCCAAGCCATGTGAAACTGTAAGTCCAATTAAACCTCTTTTTCTTCCCAGTCTAGAGTATGTCTTTATCAGCAGTGTGAAAATGGACTAAAACAAGCATTTATTAATTCAGTTAGCAAATTAATATTTACTGAGCACCTACCACATAGCAGGCATTGCTCTAGTTGCTGGCGATACAGCCATGCACAAAACAAATAAAATGCCTGCCCTCAAGGATCTTAAACTTAAATTTGATTGAAGGCATACTTGAATGCAGTGATTGGAGATCAGTTAAACCATTTTCTATGTTAACTTCACCTAGTTGAAACACATCGATAAACCTGTTAAAAGCAGTATAGAAGAATCTCACTCCTTGTACTTGAAATCTGAATTTCAGCTGTTTTTTTCATATATATATATGTTTGCAATTTCTTGCAGTAAATAAATTTTTACAAATGTCTCTTTCTGAGGATAACTCTGTGTTCCATGACTCAGTACTTTAAGAATTGCTTATTTTCCTACATTGTCTTTGACTGTATCTGAGAAGCCACCTGGGACTTAGGAATAAGTAGCATTTTCAGCTTGTTCTCAGTCCCTAGGCTTCTAAGGATCCAATTTTCAGTCTTAAATAGTAACTTTTTTCAGTGTCTTCCCAGATCAGTGATTCTTCTAGCATTACATCTCTCATAAATAGTCAGTCAAATACATTTCCAAGTAAACAAGCCCCAAATTCCTTATGAGACAATTTCCAGAAGCAGGATATGCCTTTGCTGTTGTTTCTCCATCTTGGTTCCACTTTACTTAATTGTGTTCGCATATAATTCAAGCTTATCTAACTTTGGTGGAAGAGTCAACATTCTTAATTGTTTCTTCCCCTGAGTCATTTTTTGTCTAATTTAAAGGATTTCCTTCTCCCTAGACCTTTAGATTTCATCTGAAACATTTCTATTTACCTTGGGTTTTAATCGTATGTGTGATAGCAGACCCATAAGTCTATCTTTCTTCCCCCACCAAAACATTTTGCATTTCTTCTCTCACCGTTTGGAGTATGAAATTAGTTGATTGGTTGGCTTTTCCAACATTGCAAGGCCATGAATTTCTCGTAACCTTGCAATCTTGCTTGCCAATGCAAACTCTTTCTTGAGCTCCTCTCTTTCTTATCAAGGAGAAGTCAATACAACCTGACAAATAATAATAACATTGTTTTGTGTCTTTTTTCTCTCATCCTAAAAATTTATTTTGTATATCACCTGTCTCCCAAGTACTGTATTTCAGGTAAAACTTTCACTATTTTTTTTTTATTTTACCGCTGCATAACTTTAATTGTCATCTTTCAAGAATGCAAAATAATGTTTCTACTATTCCCTCCTTTGTTTCCAAGCAAATATTTACAAACTTTTTAAGTAGCAACCTTCTACAATGAATGACAGGTAGAAGATGGAAAAAATTATAGTCATATTTTAAAGGGATAAGGAAGGGATTTGGGGTGAAAGGGCAAGAAAAAGTACTATGGACTGGGAACTGACAAAGGTATATTTGGGATGGAGATAAGAAGCTCTGCAATATAGACTGTGGTAAATTGGGTCTAATCCTATAGGAACTATAAGAAAGGATGTTGTATGTTAGATATTTCTTAACTTTGAATGTCTTTTGAGGGATAGAGGTAAAGAATGAATTTCCTTTTATATTAAACCATTGACAAGCTATGTTGTAGTTTCTCAGAGCTTGAACACTGGATTATAATTTCAAAGAAGCTATTCAATACAAATCACAATGGCCTCATTTTAAACTTAAAAAAGTTATTATAATTTATGGATGTAATAACACTGACATACTTCTAACAAAATGGTGATCTATTTTGCTTTATTGTAATCTCTGATTAGAAGTGCCTAGGATTAACCATGTAGATTTAAGGAACTATTTTCCCTTTATCACAGGTTATCTAGAGATTTTTGTATCTTTTTTAATGTTGAAGATAATTTTTGAAGTGTGAATGGGAGTAAGACAAGAAATAAAACTCAATTATTGTATTTTTCTTCCTTCAACCCAAAAAGTCAGTACAAAAGCCACAAATATTATACTGTTTTATACCTATCATTTTGATTCACAGTCACATTAATTTTCTCTACATTTCTCCAAAGCAGAAATACAGATGGATAGCTTAAAATGGGACAGTAGGGAGCAGTTAAAAGCAATTACATTTTCAAGCCTGTGATGCTTGGATTGAAAATTTGTAAGAGTTATAGGTCAATTGGATTGAGTAATATATATTAGAGATCTGTTTGGGACTTTTATTTTGCTGAATTTTGCTCACCGTATTCACCTTTAGACATGTAAAGAATAGGGAATAGTGAAAACTCAAATTTAGGGGCTGAATTTCATAGCCTATTCTTAATATATTTTATATTATACAGCATATATTCTTAGGATAAGAGGAGAAAGTGATAGAGTAGTTTAAAGAGCCCAGTGATAAGTTAAAAGATGATGGTCATTCTCCTTTGACACTAACTATAGCTAGAATTTTAGCTAGTAACTTATACCTCTCCAAATCCTAATTTTCATCTCTTCATTTGAAGGGACTGATGGTTTAATCAAATTCCATTCCACTGTAAAATTTCACTGAAAAATGATTTTGATTAGTTACATGTAACAAAATAT